>NT_187639.1:0-171027 GCF_000001405.40 Homo sapiens
TCCCAGCCGGGCGTGGTGGCTCATGCCTGTAATCCCAGTACTTTGGGAGGCCGAGGCAGGCGGATCACGAGGTCAGGAGATCGAGACCATCCTGGCTAACACAGTGAAACCCCGTCTCTACTAAAAATACAAAAAATTAGCAGGGCGTGGTGGCGGGCGCCTGTAGTCCCAGCTACTCGGGAGGCTGAGGCAGGAGAATGGCGTGAACCCAGGAGGCGGAGCTTGCGGTGAGCCGAGATCGCGCCACTGCACTCCAGCCTGGGTGACAGAGCAAGACTCCAGCTCAAAAAAAAAAAAAAAAAAAAAAAATCTACTCTCCCATGCTTGCCTCGGCAGCACATATACTAAAATTGGAACGATACAGAGAAAACTAGCATGGCCCCTGCGCAAGAATGACACGCAAATTCGTGAAGTGTTCCATATTTTAAAAAAAAAATCTACTTTCCTGGTAAATTTCAAGTATAGAGTACAGTATTGTCAACCATAGTGGCAAAGCTGTACAAGAGATCTTCAGACCCATTCCTCCTGAATACCTGATAGTTTGTATCCTTTGATCAACATCTCCCAATTCCCTCCCCCACACTGTCCCTGTAGTTCTAGTGAGTTTCCCAGACTCTGATGTCTCAATTTCATTCAGTCACTTTCCTCCAGATACATCTACCCATTCCTACTGCATCTTAGTATCCTGAGCCTTGGGGGCAGTTTCTGTGCCAAGTGGAAATGTGGAAATGAGATATTACGAAGAAAAATCTTTGCCCACCTAGACAGGGATCTGATGTTTTCCAAGATGACACATGATTACATGTTGAAATGATAATATTTTGAGTCTACTTGTATAATAAAATAATATTTTGGATCTATTAGGTTAATATTTTGGGTCTGTTGGGTTAATAATATTTTGGGTCCATTGGGTTAACTTAAATTAATTTTATCTGTTTCTTGTTAGCTTTTTAATTTGGATACTAGCAAGTTTGAAAGAATGCATGTGGTTTGCATTATGTTTCTATAGGACAGAACTTACCTGTAGATGTAAGGGAGTCACAACAAAATTACAAGCATTGTTTTTGGTGGAAATGAGAAAAATGATTACAAATTTACATGGAAAAGCAAATAGCCAATAATAATAATAATGGCAATCTTAAAGAGGAAGGAGAAATTAGAGGATTCAGGCTGCCAAATTTTAAGGGGTTCTATAAGGCCACATAAAGTGCAGCATCCTCATGAGAGTGGACACAGAGAGCCACTGAGCAGAAAAGAGTGTGTAAAATACATCTGTGTACACACAGTCCTTTTATAGTTGACAGAGGCTGCCATGCGGATTAAGGTGGAATAGAATGTCTTCTCAGTAAATAACATTGGACCAGAGGGTTACAAGCAGGAAAAAATAAATCTAAGCTTATTTTCACACCATAAAAACACTGCTAATTTTTTATCTTATTATCATACATTTTGATGATTTATTTATAAAATTGATGAATGAAAATTATATACAGTTGTCCTTCACTATTCATGGGTGATTGGTTCCAGGAAACCCCCCTCCCTACCAGACACCAAAATCTGCAGATGCTCAAGCCTGTTGCATGAAATGGCACAGCGTTTGCATATAACCCATGCACATCCTCCTGTATACATGAAATCATCTCTAGATTACTTATAATTCCTGATACAGCCTACACACCACCTCACTTGTGTCCACACAATATAGTATTTTTGCTTTTTGGAACTTTGTGGATTTTTTCTCTGAATATTTTTGATTTATATTTGGTTCAATAAACACCTGTAAACCCCACAGATATGGAGGAGCGACTGTATATTTATAGTATGAAAGATGATGTGTTGACATGTGTCCCTGTGGAGATGAGACTAACAAGGCCTATGACTCTACAAATGTTTCATCTTGGAATGACTCTGCCAGCTTTCCAGGTCTGCAGAGAGTAAGAATATCACTTGTTCATGTGATTCACGATCCTTGGAACCTCCTATGTGCTGCATCTTTGGATGGAAATTGGAGTCCCAGAGACAAATGAGGCTCCACCCTGCTTCCAGAAGCTCAGAGTCCAGGGCTGAGAACCCAGTAGAGAACATATCAGGTTATATGGACATAGTAATGATAACACTGGAAACTTTTGGCGAATAAAGAGTCACATTATCGAAACCATGAGGGCAGACATGTTTATTTGAAGAGGAGAGAGCTACACTGAAGTTATAAAAAAAATTTATAAATTTTACTGATGACAGAAGGCTGAAAGATAGTCTGAGGGGAGGTGGAACAGCATGAGGGAAGGTGGAACAGCAAGTGTGTAAGTGCCGTGTTAAGAGGGAGCCTCTTGTATGTTTGGAATTGTGAGTTCCTCAGTGTGATTGCAGCCTCAAGTAGGACTAGGAAGTAAGCCAGTTAGGTTGGAGAGGTGGGCAGGGGTCAAGTGAAATAGATACTTGTGGGCTAAGCAAAGGAGTGTGTTTTCTCTGCAGCAGGCAGTGGCGACCTTAGGCATTTGTAAGCAAGAGAGAGGCATGTTCAGATTCGTGGTGTGAGGAAGAGCGATCCCCTAAGATGCAGACTGATGCCTTCAGATTCCAGCTGCTGGTTCATTGGATCTGGCAACCTGGTTTTGAGACAGGGCTGTTGTCTCCCTAGAAAACCCCCTCAAGACCTGACTGTGGTGCTCGTGGGCAGGAGACAACTTTGGATCTGGGCTCAGCATTTGGAAGTTCCGTGTACACGCTGGTATCTGTTAGGGGTGTCTTGGGCCTCTGAGAAGGGCGACTGATTTTTCTCTGTATGAAAACGCAGTGATCCAACTGTGCGTACGTCACCTCCTGAGGGTCTTGTTCATCAGAGTCCTGGAGAGAGGGAAATGCTGAGTGAGGGAGGGTGCTCACATTTTTCAGGACTATTAGGGATAAGACTGTATCCGTGAGGCTGGGCCGAGGAGGACCTACCTGCCTATTCACTGTTCTGTCCCCCGCAGGCTCTTGGTCCATTACAGCAGCATCTGTAGGAGACGGAAGTCATCAAAACCGCTTGGAGGGCCCTTCTGGGTCCTCATTTCATGGGCAGACACCAACCCACAGGGGGAGGCTGTAGGTGCCTGAGGCTCTTCAGCTGCCAACATCCAGACTCAGACATTCTATCTCTCTGAGTTCAAGACCCCATCCCATGAAGTGCTCTCAATTGGCATCCCATTGATTCTGTCTCCCACTTTCTGCCTGTCATGGAAGCTTCTGGATGTCAGTGGCTGCAGGGGATGTGAGGATACAGTTCAGAACCAGGCAATGGTCTGTGAGCTGAAGGCAGGGGCAGGTTGTCTGGTGCTCTCTCTAGAAAGCCCTGCCTCTGTGGCTCCTCCCTTGGGCCAGGGACCATCCTGCCAGTGAGGAACACACACCCGCGTGCTCCCATCCTGCTTCCCCACATGGCCCTGAGCTCTCTGGCCTCTGCTTCGTGAGACTTACTCTTTTTGTTGGAGCACCAGCGATAAAGGAGAAAGAAGAGGAGGAGGATGAAGAGGAAGATGACCACTGAGGTCCCAATCAGAACATGCAGGTGTCTGCAGATACCTGGAGGAAGATGGGAATCCAATAAGAAGCTAATCATAGCAGTTCCTCTTTATGGATTGTCTCATTTCTTGATTGACAGGTAACCACATGGAACATCTCCTTAGGACAAGCAGCCTGATGGCGGGAGACCCAGCTTTCTCCTGCTTTCTCAGTTACAGCTCTCATAGAAACCATAGAACATGCTGAGGATACAGCTGCTTTAGTTTAGATGTTTGACCCTTTGAAACCTCACACTGAAATATTGAAATTTAACCCCCAGTGTGGAAGTTTGGGCCTATGGGAAGGTGTTTGAGTCATGGAGGTGGATCCATCATGAATAGATTAATGCTGCCCCACATGATGGGGTTAGCAAGTTCCCCCTCTATTAGTTCCCGGAGGGCTGGTTGTTAAAAAGAGCTTGGAAGC
The DNA here is from genome assembly GCF_000001405.40 of Homo sapiens. Classification (NCBI taxonomy): domain Eukaryota; kingdom Metazoa; phylum Chordata; class Mammalia; order Primates; family Hominidae; genus Homo; species Homo sapiens. The sequence continues at coordinate 3,967 of NT_187639.1, forward strand.
TCCATCGCTCGCCCTCCCCCTTGCTCCCTCTCTTGCCATGTGATCTCTGTGGTCTCTGCACAGACAGACCCTCCTTCCCTTCTGCCAGAGTGGGAGCAGCCTGAGGCCGTCACAGGAAACAGATGCTGGTGCCATGCTTCCAGTACAGCCTGCAGAACTGTGAGGCAAACAAATCTGTTTTCTCTAGAAGTTGCCCAGGCTCTGGGATGCAAGGCTGGTTCAATATATGCAAATCAATAAATGTAATCCATCATATAAACAGAACCAAAGACAAAAACCGGACGATTATCTCAATAGATGCAGAAAAGGCCTTTGACAAAATTCAACAACGCTTCATGCTAAAAACTCTCAATAAATTAGGCATTGATGGGACGTATCTCAAAATAATAAGAGCCATCTATAACAAACCCACAGCCAGTATCATACTGAATGGGCAAAAACTGGAAGCATTCCCTTTGAAAACTGGCACAAGACAGGGATGCCCTCTTTCACCACTCCTATTCAACATAGTGTTGGAAGTTCTGGCCAGGGCAATTAGGCAGGAGAAGGAAATAAAGGGTATTCAATTAGGAAAAGAGGAAGTCAAATTGTCCCTGTTTGCAGATGACATGATTGTATATATAGAAAACCCCATTGTCTCAGCCCAAAATCTCCTTAAGCTGATAAGCAGCTTCTACAAAGTCTCAGGATACAGAATCAATGTACAAAAATCACAAGCATTCTTATACACCAATAACAGACAAACAGAGAGCCAAATCATGAGTGAACTCCCATTCACAATTGCTTCAAAGAGAATAAAATACCTAGGAATCCAACTTACAAGGGATATGAAGGACCTCTTCAAGGAGAACTACAAACCACTGCTCAATGAAATAAAAGAGGATACAAACAAATGGAAGAACATTCCATGCTCATGGGTAGGAAGAATCAAGATCGTGAAAATGGCCATACTGCCCAAGGTAATTTATAGATTCAATGCCATCCCCATCAAGCTACCAATGACTTTCTTCACAGAATTGGAAAAAACTACCTTAAAGTTCATATGGAATCAAAAAAGAGCCTGCATTGCCAAGTCAATCCTAAGCCAAAAGAACAAAGCTGGAGGCATCATGCTGCCTGACTTCAAACTATACTACAAGGCTACAGTAACCAAAACAGCATGGTACTGGTACCAAAACAGAGATATAGATCAATGGAACAGAATAGAGCCCTCAGAAATAATGCCACATATCTACAACTATGTGATCTTTGACAAACCTGAGAAAAACAAGCAATGGGGAAAGGATTCCCTATTTAATAAATGGTGCTGGGAAAACTGGCTAGCCATAGGTAGAAAGCTGAAACTGGATCCCTTCCTTACACCTTATACAAAAATTAATTTGAGATGGATTAAAGACTTAAACGTTAGACCTAAAACCATAAAAACCCTAGAAGAAAACCTAGGCATTACCATTCAGGACATAGGCATGGACAAGGACTTCATGTCTAAAACACCAAAAGCAACGGCAACAAAAGCCAAAATTGACAAACGGGATCTAATTAAACTAAAGAGCTTCTGCACAGCAAAAGAAACTACCATCAGAGTGAACAGACAACCTACAAAATGGGAGAAAATTTTCGCAACCTACTCATCTGACAAAGGGCTAATATCCAGAATCTACAATGAACTCAAACAAATTTACAAGAAAAAAACAAACAATCCTATCAAAAAGTGGGCAAAGGACATGAACAGACACTTCTCAAAAGAAGACATTTATGCAGCCAAAAAACACATGAAAAAATGCTCACCATGACTGGCCATCAGAGAAATGCAAATCAAAACCACAATGAGATACCATCTCACACCAGTTAGAATGGCGATCATTAAAAAGTCGGGAAACAACAGGTGCTGGAGAGGATGTGGAGAAATAGGAACACTTTTACACTGTTGGTGGGACTGTAAACTAGTTCAACCATTGTGGAAGTCAGTGTGGCGATTCCTCAGGGATCTAGAGCTTGAAATACCATTTGACCCAGCCATCCCATTACTGGGTATAAACCCAAAGGACTATAAATCATGCTGCTATAAAGACACATGGACACGTATGTTTATTGTGGCACTATTCACAATAGCAAAGACTTGGAACCAACCCAAATGTCCAACAATGATAGACTGGATGAAGAAAATGTGGCACATATACACCATGGAATACTATGCAGCCATAAAAAATGATGAGTTCATGTCCTTTGCAGGGACATGGATGAAATTGGAAATCATCATTCTCAGTAGACTATCACAAGGACAAAAATCCAAACACCGCATGTTCTCACTTATAGGTGGGAATTGAACAATGAGAACACATGGACACAGGAAGGGGAACATCACACTCTGGGGACTGTTGTGGGGTGGGGGGAGGGGGGAGGGATAGCATTAGGAGATATACCTAATGCTAAATGACGAGTTGATGGGTGCAGCACACCAGCATGGCACATGTATACATATGTAACTAACCTGCACATTGTGCACATGTACCCTAAAACTTAAAGTATAATAATAATAAAAATTTTAAAAAAAAGCTCATCAGAAGCACTATACAAAAAAAAAAAAAAAAAAAAAAGAAGTAACCCAGGCTCAAGTGTTCTTTTATAGCAACAAAAATGGACTAAGACAGCAACGTCCTGAGATCAGGAGGAACGTCTCAGAACAGCCTGTGCTGTCTTCCTGTTCTTCCTGGAGGAGGACGTCATGCAGTGCTTTAGCTGAGTGCTTCCTGTGGCTTCAGGGTACAAAACCCAGGCTGGGCTATTTTCTGGCTTCCCCCAGATACACTGCAAATGAGGTGACTCCATATGTCCCGAGCAGCTTTTCTGAGCCTTGAGGGACTGGCTCACGTTGAAATGTAGGCTTCTGTTGTCACTCGCTGCTTATCTGTTAGTAATGAACCTGCCTATGTAACGTATTCTCTGTGTGTTCTGTCTCCCTGGAGTGACGGTGAGTGATAGAAATTGGCATAGGCCCAGGTGCAGTACAGCAGGTGTTTAGAGTCTTCTCTGGAAAGACTGGACTGGGATTGATACACAGTGAATGTGCTTTACAGTTTCTACATCCACAACCCTCTTGACTCAAATTACATTCTCCAAGAAAAGGACACAAAAGTGAAATCAAGATCAAAAAAGCAAAGTAGAATTCTCTTATGTCAAACAGCCAGGAAATAATGATGAAGCCCATGTGAAACGTGCTACTCTTTGTGATCTCGCGAGACACATGTTAGGCTGCTGTTCCACCTGAGAGGCTGGGGGAAAGACCACCCCCTCCACCATCTATTGCTTCAAAACCACCTGTCCTCCTGTGAATTAGTAGGAAAGGGGAGCAGGAGCTAGTGCTGGTGCTGATCTCTGATTCCAAGATCTGAACTCACTCCAAGGAGTATTAGCGTTTACCTCCCCATGATCTATCTGTATCTCCACAGGTGATTGGAAGTAGGGGTGAGGTGGGGGATTTGGGTGAGGGGGAAAGTTTCTTGTGATGAACAGAGCACTTTCCCTATTTCAGGGCCTGTGCTGGTGGGTTCAGGGGGCTTTCATATTTTCCATATGATCTCATGTTCACAGAAAGCCAAATATGGAAGAGGTTTTAGGCTGATTTTCTAATGGATAAGATAAAGGATCAAAGAAGTAATTATAGAGGAATAGAAAAATGATGATTGGAATTCAGGTGCCTGCATCATTTGTGTATATTATTATATTTATGTATTTTTTATTTTTATTTTTTGAGACAGAGTATCCCTGTGTAGCCCAGGCTGGTGTGCAGTGATGCGATCTCCACTCACTGCAACCTCTGCCTCCAGGGCTGAAGTCATTCTCCTGCTTCCTCCTCCAGAGTAGCTGGGATTACAGTCATGCACCACCATCATGCCTGTTTAATTTTTGTATTTTTAGTAGAGATAGGGTTTCTCCATGTTGGCCAGGCTGGTCTCGAACTCCTGACTTCATGTGATCCACCCGCGTTGGCCTCCTGAAGTGCTGGGTTACAGGCGTGAGCCACCGTTCACAGCCTTGTATATTATGCTATACTAGGTCCCTTCATTTGCACCACCCCTCATCTAGCTCTCCCTCCTCTGCCAGGTATTGATTTAGATGCAGGAGAAATAAATCTCAGAAATAAGTTAGTGAAGCGAGGATTAAACTACCAGGAAAAATTAAACCCAGTAAGCGTTTCCAGTCAATGATTCTACCTCACAAACATATCTTATATCCATCTACTTCATTCATTTAGTGTCTAAATCAGCACCACATTTCACCAGTGGGGCGGCAATTGCCTTTTCCACGGTCTCCTAGATTCCAGTTATGCACCTGAGCCTCCCTTATTTTCATGTCAGTCATATTAATCATGTAGGGATTCCTGGTTACCCCGAGGTGAATCCAAGGGCTGTGAGTGTCAAACACACACTCCTTGTTGCTCCTTAGTTTCCTGTGTACCCAGTGTGCTCTCCGTCTCTCCACAGTCGTCTTGTCATTCTCCCCATCTCATTCCCGGCATTTCAGGCAGAGCCTCTTCCTTCCACATCAGATTGTTTTCACCTTTGTGCCTTCACGGCTGACAGCTGTGTGGAAAATCCTTCTGCCAATCTTCCAGGGGTTCAATCCGTGTTTTTCATTAATGTCACAAATATCTGATTAGTGAGAACTTCTCTGTCACCTGAAATCATACACTCAGCATTATCTATTATTGATTTGAAAATTTGGCTTGGCCCCGTGGCTCATGCCTCTTATCCCAGCGTGTTGGGAGGCAGAGGCTATTGGATCACCTGAGGTTGGGAATTTGAGACCAGCCTGGCCAACATGGTGAAACATCCTCTCTACAGAAAATATGCAAAAAGAGTTAGCCGGGCGTGGTGGTTGTGGTCTGTAATCCCAGCTACTGGAGAGGCTGAGGGAGGAGATCAGTTCAGCCCAGGAGGTGGAGGTTGCAGTGAGCCGAGATCATGCCACTGCACTCTAGCCTGGACGACAGAGCAAGGCTCCGTCTCAATAAACAAGTAGGTAAATACATAAATAAATAGATTTCATGCACAGATGCTTCTCAATAGATCATTCATTTATTGGTCCCCTTGTGCCTACATTTTCTGCCCTCCCATTTAACCATCTGCAAGATCAGTGTCCCAAGAACAGAGGCCAAATGCATCTTGTTCACTGTTTGTGGAAGGCAGGAGAATGTTGTCCCACCCCAAAAATGTCCATGTCCTAGCCTCCATAGCTTGTGAATATGTTATTTTACATGAAAGGAGGAATGAAGATTGCAGATGGAATTATGGTTGCTAGTCAGCTGAACTTAAAAGGAGGGTATCCTGGATGATTTCCGGGAGATTATGATGGATTTTCATCTTGGTGAACCCAATAGAATCCCCAAGTTTTCAAAAGAAGGGCAAGAAGGGAGAGCAGCATTCAGAGAAAGAGGTGTGGTAAGGAAGAAGGGTCTGAGTGATGCCATGTGAGATGTGACCAGTCTTTGTGGGCTTTGAGGAAGGAGGAAGGGTACCAGGAGCCAAGGAACATGGGAGCCTCTAGAAGCTGAGAAAAGTGAGAAGCAGATTCTTGCCTGGAACCCTCAGAGGGAAGGCAGCCTTGCTGTCACCTTGATTTTAGCCCAGTGACATGCACGTCATGCTTTGAGCTACAGCACTGTAAGATAATTAAATAACCGTTTTGTTTTCACCCACGAATCTTGTGGAAATTTGTTATGGCAACAATAGGAAAAGCTTCCACACTGCACAGCCTGAGCATGGGGCCGTGGCTGAATGAGTCAGTGAGTCGAAGTGTGCGTGCATGAGCTCTGTTCTCTGTTACGGCAAGGCTCTTGCTCTGCTGAGTCAGCCAGGGTTGCCTGATGACCAACAGTAATTCATTCCTTGGCAAGTGGAACTTCTCTAAAACACCCACCCTCATCAGATGTTCCCTTCCCTTCCCTCTCTCAAGCCCCCGGGAATTTATCCTCCAGTTAGGAATGCAGGCAGAAAAAACACTGCATTTTTCCTGAGAAGGATGTCAGATTGGCAATTATTCTTCTAGCTTGTAGGAGGTCTCACCTGCAGGAAATTAAAGGTAAAGAGACTTCGCTGAGCCCTTTGGTGGCCCTAGATCCCTTTCACTGTTGGAGTGTCTGGAGTTCAGAGATGGTGGAAGACAGGCCCTCATTCACAGAGCTGGGAGGTTTGAGCCAACACTTGCATCCAAGGCTTCCACCTCCCCAGGTTTCCAAAAGCAGAGATAAGAGGGGTCCTTTACTCACCAGATTTGGAGCTTGGTTCTGTGGGTGAAGGCCAACTACTTGAAGGGTTTCCTAGAACACGGGACAGGAGAGATGTGAGGAAATGAGGGTGCTTGTCCTCTACTCAATGGAAATCTTTGAGGTTGGTTCATGGCCAACACTCTGTTATCTAATGTTGGACCCTGGGAGTCTTGGGATCCTTTTCTCCATAATTTTTGTGTGCGATGCCCACTGTCTTGAGACTTGAAGGTATAAAGAGAAAACAGGAGCATCACACTACCTGACTTAGAAATATGTTACAGAGCTGTAGTAAGCAAAACAGCATGACATTGGCATAAAGAAAGGCACATAAAAAATGGAACAGAATGGAGAACACAGATATAATCCATGCATTTACATCCAATGGCTTTCTTTTGTGTGTGTGTGATAGAATCTTGCTCTGTCATGCAGGCTGGAGTGTAGAGGTGCAATCTCAGCTCAATGCAACCTCCACTTCCTGGATTCAAGAAATTCTCTTGCTTCAAACTCCTGAGTAGTGGTATTACAGGCACTGATCACCATGCTCAGCTAATTTTTGTATTTTTAGTAGAGACGAGGTTTCACTCTGTTGGCCAGCCTGGTCTTGAACTCCTGGCTTTAGGTGATCCACCTGCCTCGGCCTCCCAAAGTGCTGGAATTGCAGGTGTGAGCCACCATACCCAGCCCATTTAATGGACTTTGACAAAGGTGCCGAGAACTTACAATCAGGAAAGGACAGTCTTCAATAAATGGTGTGGGGAAAACTGGATATCTACATGCAGAGGAATAAAACTGCATCTATACCTGTCACCTTACACAAAAATCAAATGAAAATGGATTAAAAACATGAGTCTAAGGCCTGAACCTATGAAACATGTAGAAGAAAATAATGGGGAAGACATTTGTCTGACGAAAGACATTTTGTTTAAAACCTTCAAAACACAAGTAATCAAAGCAAAAAATAGACCATTAGGATTACATCAAACCAAGCAACTTCTGCACCACCAAAGATAAACCAACAAAGTGAAGAGACAACCCACAAAATAGGAGCAAATATTTGCAAACTATTCATCTGAGATGGGATTAATAACTGGAAATATAAGAAGCTCAAACAACTCAATAAAACAATTTAATTAAAAAACGAGCAAAAGACATGAGGAGACATTTCTCCACAAACAAAACATAGAAATGGCGATCACGTATATGAAAAAGTGCTCAGCATCACTCATCATCACAGAAATGTAAATTACAATCGCGATGAGTTTTCATCTCATCCCATTAAAATGCCTTTTAGGCCGGTGGCTCACGCCTGTAATTCCAGCACTTTGGGAGGCGGAGGTGGGCGGATCACCTGAGGTCGGGAGACCAGCCTGACCAACATGGAGAAACTCCCTCTCTACTAAACATACAAAAATTAGCTAGGCGTGGTGGCACATGCCTGTAATCCCAGCTACTTTGGAGGCTGAGGCAGGAGAATCAGTTGAACGCGGGAGGCAGAGGTTGCAGTGAGCCGAGATCACACCCTTGCACTCCAGCCTGGGCGACTATGAGTGAAACTCCATCTCAACATAAATAAATAAATAAATAAAGTAAAGTAAAATGGCTTTTATCTGCAAGACAGGCAAAACAAATGCTGGCAAGATGGTAGAGAAAGGAGAACCCTGGTACCCTGTTGGTAGGAATGTAAATTAGTACAACTATTATGGAGAAAAGTATGGAAAATCTTTAAAAAACTAAAAGCAGGCTGGGCATAGTGGCTTATGCCTGTAACTTCAGCACTTTGGGAAACCGAGGCAGGCACCTCACTTGAGGTCAGGAGTTTGAGAGCAGCCTGCCCAAAATTGGGATATCCCGTCTGTGCTAAAAAATACAAGAATTAGTCAGGCATGGTGGCGTGCACCTGTAATCACAGCTACTAGGGAGGCTGAGTCAGGAGAATCGTTTGAACCTAGGAAGCAGAGGTTGCAATGAGCCAAGATCGCACCACTTTGACTCCAGCTTGGACTAAGGAGGGAAACTCTTTCTCAAAAAAGAAAAAAAAAAAAAGAGAACTTTCATAGTGTCCAGCAATTTCACTACTGGGTTTATATCCAAAGGAAAGGACATCAGTGTATCGAAGTGATATCTGCACTCATATGACTGTTCCAGCACTGTTCACAGTAGCCAAGATGTGGAGTCAACCTACCTGCCTATCAGTGGGTGAATGGATAGAGAACTGTAGTACACACACACGGTGGAGACTACTCATCCATAGAAACAATAACATCCTGTCATTTGCAGCCACATGGATGGAACTCGAGGTCATTACAAAGATTCCCATTTCTCACCACATGCAGGAGATAAAAGGTGGATCTCATGAAGGTAGAGAATAGAATGGTGGATACCAGAGGCCAGGAAGGGAAGGGTGGAGGGTAACAAAAAAAAGAATATAGATGTATTTATTTATTTAGAAACAGAGTCTCTCTCTGTCTCCCAGGCTGCAGTGCAGTGGCATGATCTCGGCTCAGTGCAACCTCTGCCTCCTGGCTTTAAGTGCTTCTCCTGCCTCAGCCTCCCAAGTAGCTAGGACTACAGGTGCATGCCGGCATGCTTGGCTAATTTTTCTTGTCTGTTTAGTAAAGATGAATTTCCCGCATGTTGGCCAGGCTGATCTCGAGTCCCTGATCTTAAATGATCCACCTTTCTTGGCCTCTCAAAGCGCCAAGATTACAACCGTGAACCACCACACCCAGCATATAAAGGTATTTATGACCACTAGATTTTACTTTTAAAAATGGTAAAGTTGGTAAATTATATAGTTACATTTAACCTCAATAAATATTTTTGAAAATGAAAAGAAAAGAGTGTAGGGGTTGCTGGTGATGACATCTCTCTGTGTGGGTGAGAGGCCAGGATGGGCTTCTGGGAAATGGGTAAGGTTGAGGGGCTGAGGGAACCTCTGATCTCCCCAAACTGAGCCCAGTCTCCCCTTCTCTGGGTCTGTCCTGACCGCTTTCTCCATCTGCCTGGGTGCCTGGAGCCCTGACCATGGGCCTCCATGCAGGCCATGCAAGAGGGTTTGGAGGTGCCCTGTCTGCCATCCTGCACCCTGACCCCCCCCTCACACCCAGTCTTCGTGTTCTCTCTGCATCTGTCCATGCTTCTCCCCATCATCGGCAGGAAGCTCCTCAGCTATGGCTCTAGGATCATAAGACATGGGACAGACACGGGTTTTCCTCACCTGTGACAGAAACAAGCAGTGGGTCACTTGAGTTTGACCACACGCAGGGCAGGGCACGGAAAGAGCCGAAGCATCTGTAGGTCCCTCCGTGGGTGGCAGGGCCCAGAGGAAAGTCTGCCTGGAATGTTCTGTTGACCTTGGGCACTGCACGGAGCCTACGTTCATGGGCCTCCCCTTCCCTGGACAGATGGTAGATGTCATAGGAGCTCCAGGAGCTACAGGACAAGGTCACGTTCTCTCCTGCCTGAACCGTGGGGCCCGGCTGGGCTGAGAGAGAAGGTTTCTCATATAGACCTGGAAGGAGAAGAGGCAGTTTCCTCAGGGAGGTTCTTCCTTGTCACAGCTCCCCTCATACCTGAGCTGAGAACTCACTCCCCTGCTCTATGACCTAATGCTCTCTCTCTCTCTCACCCTCCACCCCAACTCTCTTCATGTCTATTTCCTCCTTCCGCCTTCTCTGTCTCTCTAGGTCTCTGACCTCACTTCCCCACCCCTGGGTATGCTTTCCCTTTTTGGATTGTTTTATTCTCTCTGACTCTCCTTGGATTGGTTGACTTGATCTTCCTTTTTCTATAATTCTGAGTCTCTCACTTTCTGTCTTGTTCATAACTTTCTGCATATTTCTATCTATTATCTATCTATCTATTTTGTGTCTATCTACAAATTATCTGTCATCTATATCTATGTATCATTTATCTATCAATTGTCTATCTGTCTATCCATCAATCATCTATGTATTATCTGTATCTATGTATCATCTCTCTCTCTCTCTATTACCTCTCTGTCTGCCTGTCAGTCTCTATGTATCATCTATGTATCTATATATTTATATATGTGTCTTCTATCTATCTATCTTCATCATCATCATCATCATCATCTCTATGTATCATCTATCAATCATCATCTATGTATCTATAACCTATCCATTATCTATCATCTACCTATTTATCATCTATCTATATCTATCTATCCATCTATCATCTGTCTCTCTCCATCTCCTTGTCTTTCTCTGCCTCTCAGTCTCTCTAGTTCTATTTGGAATCTCTGCAATCCATCCCCACATCTTTATCTTTCTCTGTCTTTGTGCCCCTCCCTCAGGGTTCTGATTTTGGGGCTTTTCTCTCCTCCCTTCCAGCATTCTCTCCACTCCTCTGCCCTCTTTTCTTTCTTTTTGTGTGTCTGTGAGTCTCTCAATCCCCTTCCTCTGGCTCATTCTCTGTGTGTTTATGCCTTTGCTTTTTGAAGTCCCTGATTTATCTCTGTGTCTCTCAGTGATCCTATTATATGTAGGATTATTTGGAATATGAGCCTCAGAATCTAGTCTGGGGACACCAAGTACACACAGTATTTAGGGGTTGGTGTTCTGGGGCCATGATATCCTGGGATAATTATGGCTCCACTGCATGGAAGGCAGAGGTGTCAGAATAAACATGGCATCTGTAGATGCCACAAGGCCTGAGGCCACAGGGCCCAACTCAGGTCAGAAATATGGGTGTCCTTGGGTTCTCCTCGTAGAAGCACTTTGTGGAGACAAAACAGAAATGAAACTTCTAACCTGTGCCAGGTCTCTGAGCAAAGTCAGCATGGAAGGACACTTCTCTCTGGCACATGTCTGTCTGTCTGAGTGTCTCCTTTACCTCTTTCTCTCTTTTCTACTTCCCCGTATGGCCCCTGTGTCTGTCCTCTGTTATGACACCTGGTCTGTACTTATGTCTCCTGTTTCCCTGTCTCTGTTGGTACAGACCTCACCGAGTCAGTCTCTCTCCATAAGAATCCCACGCTTATCTTCCTCATGACCACCTGGGGGTTCCAAGTCCTGGATCATTCACTCTGTGTCCCAATGACAATGAGAAGAATGTCTGGACACTCTCACCTGTGATCACGATGTCCAGGGGGTCACTGGGAGCTGACAACTGATAGGGGGAGTGAGGAACAGAACCATAACATCTGTAGGTTCCTGCAAGGACAGGCATCAAGGGACCGATGGAGAAGTTGGCCTTGGAGACCCCATCATGGATCTGTCCAACGAGGCGTGAGGGGTCCTCAGAGATCCCATCTCTGTGCAGAAAGAAGTGCTCAAACATGACATCTGACCAACATTGCAGGATGACTGTCTCTCCTGATTTCAGCAGGGGCCCTGGGTGGGCCAGGAGGGAAGGTTTTCTGTGGTTTCCTAGAAAGAGAAGTTGTGAGTTTAGAAGGCATCTCTCTTTATCATCCCATCCATGGCACCTGGAATGAGTGAGGGTTCCCCTCCCAGAGGTCTGTCTCTCTCCTCCCTCTCTGTGTCTCCGTGTCTTTTCTGTGCCCATATCCCCTGGTGCAGGTCCCTCCATTTGTCTTCCTCCCTCTTCTCTGTCCCTCTGTCTCCAGTAGCCCCTGACTCCCTTCCCACTGTGAAGAGAGCCTCATCTCTTGGGCTGTTGTATCTCTTTCCCACTAGTCTCTTTCCTGCTGTCTATGTGAGGGTGGAAGAGGACAGGCTGCATGTCCAGGCTCTCAGCAGCCTGAATCAATCTCTTTTGAACAAATTGGAGTCTCTGGCAGAGGTATCAACTCATCAGTAAGGCAGACATCAGTGTCCACACACCCTGTTCCTGATGGGGATTGGGAGCCTCTCCTGCCATGTCTGTGCCTTCTCCATGGCCCCAGCTTCCATAGGGTGGTCCCTGGTGCTGGTTCCAGGAGCATCAACCCCTTCCTATGTGGATGGAGCCTGGTGGTGGCATCAGCATCCCACCCTTGCTGATCCCACGGTAGCCAACCTTCTCCTTGTTTGGTTTCTTTAATTAATTGATTAATTAATTTATTTTTGAGACAGTCACTTTTTCACCCAGGCTGGAGTGCAGTGGTGTTGTCTTGGCTCACTGCAACCTCTGCCTCCCCGGTTCAAGTGATTCTCTTGCCTCAGCCTCCCCAGTCGTTGGATTACTCGTGCCCACCACCACACCTGGCTATCCTTGTTTGGTTTCCTAGCTTGTCCTTGACCTGGGTTCCTGTGTCGGTTTCCTGTTGCTGCTGCAGAAAATTATCACAAACATGGCAGCAGGAGAGAACACACTGACCCCTTCCACTTCTGGGGACAGAAATTGGATCCAGTTCTCCCTGTGCTGAAATCAAGGCATCTGCAGGGCTGCGTTCCCTCTGGAGACTCAGCGAATCAGTTCTCTTGACTTCTCCAGCCCTTAGAGGCCACCTGCATTCTGTGACTAGTGGCCTTCCTCCACCTTCAAAGCCCACAGTGGCTGATAGCGTCTCCCTCCCACTACACTGCTCTAATCCCCACTCCCCTCTTCCTCCACCTCTCACGCGGACCCTTGTGATTACACTGAGCCCAGCAGGACAGTCCAGGCTGTCTCCCCATCTCAAGGTCAACTCATCAACAACCTGAGCTCCACCTTCCCCTTCAGTCCCCTGCCCTATAACATAAATAGTCACAGGCTCCAGGGTTTACAATGTAGCCATCATTGGCGACAGTTATTCTTCCCACCACAGCGCCCATTTCCCCTGTATTCAATCTCCCTTGACCCCAAATACAGTTGGGGCCTGGGTGATGGGACCCTGATGGACACCCCCACCAGAAGCTCTGGGATTCAGGAGGTGGGACAGTGAGAAGCCCAGACAGAAAGCCTCTGACCTGTGACCATGATCACCAGGGGGTTGCTGGGTGCCGACCACCCAGTGAGGGAGTGTGGGCGTGAACCCCGACATCTGTAGGTCCCTGCATGTGCTGGGGTCACAGGGCCCATGATGAAGCTCTCCTGGAATATTCTGCCGTGGAAGATGGGAACGTGGCTTCTGTCTTCTTTGTACAGCATGAAATTGTTAAACCCACGACGATAGTGACACTGAAGAGCCACGTGTCCTCCTCGAGGCACCACAGTGCTGGGCCGGGCAGACAGGAAGGGTTTGTCCTGACCACCTGGGGGAGAAGGAGGCACTGCCTTAGAGAGGAGGATGTGGAGCCACCCCTCCCTCCCTGTGCTCAGAAGATTCTCCCATTTCCGCTTTCTAAGGCTCCTACCACACCTGGGTGCCCAGGGCTACAGGAAGGACCCACCCCACATAGACATGGCGTCTCCCTACAACAAGTGTCAGCTGAGAACTTTGAGCAAGTGCTGAATAAGTGACTCTTACTAGATTTTAATACTGCAAAATTACTCACATAAAACAACACAAAGTAGACACGGCATGGAGGGCATGTCCTATGTGAATGGAATATCAGCCAATTCATGAACTGAGCCCCCTCAGAGGATTTGGAATGTCAGGGCCATGGCTGTGGTTTCCCCCCTCTTCTGGTAGAAAGACCGCAGCCACACTGCAGCCCCTACCGTCACGGAAACGCTGGAGGGTGTCAGTTATACCTTTGTCCTCAGAGGACCTGCTGTTCCTAGCACTGCTTCCCTCTCTTTCTCTGCTGCTGACACCACTTCCTCCCTGCACACCCCAGCTTGGAGCACCCCAGTCTCACCCCAGTCTTCACAGAGCTTGACTCAGGAAAGGGAAAGAAAGGCCGGGGAGGGCGAGGTCAGAAATGTGGGCCGAGTATCCAAGGGTCCCCTCTTCCTAGTTTATGAGAGACTCCCCGACAGGACTTCCCTCCTGTTTCAGAAAAATCCTCTTATGTGGGGAGATGACACCCTAAGGTTTGGGGAAGGACTCACCCATGAGTGGCCAGGCCCCCTGCAGCAAGAAGAACCCTGGAAAGAAAGATCATGATAGACGATCCAACTGCAGGCAAACCAGGGCACCCTGCTGCCCCCACTGCACTGTGTGTCTTGGCAGCCAGGCCCTTGCTGGGCTGAAGGTAAACTTAGCCTCCCTGCTACCTGCTGCCAAGAACAGGGCTCTCAGCTGTGGAGAGACCCAGGCTCCAGGCCCAGATCAACACTTCCTGGCCCAGATCTCCACTCCAGGCCCATATCTCCACTCCAGGCCCCTATCTCCACTCCAGGCCCCTATCTCCACTCCAGGCCCATATCTCCACATCAGACCCATATCTCCACTCCAGGCCCAGATCTCCCCTCTAGGCCCATATCTCCACTCCAGGCCCATATCTCCACTCCAGGCCCATATCTCCACATCAGACCCATATCTCCACTCCAGGCCCAGATCTCCACCTGCAGGCCCATATCTCCACTCCAGGCCCATATCTCCACTCCAGGCCCGTATCTCCACTCCAGGCCCATATCTCCACACCCAGGCCCATATCTCCCCTCCAGGCCCATATCTGCACTCCAGGCCCATATTTACACCTCCAGGCCCATATCTCCACACCCAGGCCCATATCTCCACTCCAGGCCCATATCTCCACTCCAGGCCCATATCTTTACCTCTAGGCCGAGATCTCCATCCCCACTCTCCCTCCCTCTATTCCCTTCCAGGACTCACCAACGCACGCCATGCTGACGACAGTGAGCGACATGGTGCTGCCGGTGCAGACAGGAGGCCGCGCCCCAGCTCAGCTCAGCAGCGCACAGGATGTTATTTGGCGCCCTGCCCATGCAGTTTACATGTTGACCACATCATGGGAGGGTGACGTACGCAGGCTCTTTCTACCTTGCATGAGGCCCAGTGGGTGCTCGCTCAAGAGCGGAACATGGCTTCCTGGAAATTGTTGTGACTACAATTGCCACCTTGCATCCTTCACTATGACCAGACTCAAAAGACGTCTCAGATCCAACCTCTCACACATGAGGTGATTGAATTCTGTGCTTACATTAAAGACTTTTGATGTATTTTTGTTTTTATCTGAGATTCAAACTTTTCTTCATGTGTAATGTGCAAAATATCTAAGAGGTATTATTAACATTATCAGAGTAATTGTGACAAAAAGCCATTCTAATTTTCCTGATGAGTTTCTAGTACTAAACCTGAGGCACGAGAATTGCTTGAACCTGGGAGGCGGAGGCTGCAGTGAGCTGAGCTCAAGCCACTGAACTCCAGCTTGGGTGACAGAGGAAGAGTCTGTCTCAAGAAAGAAAAAAAAAAGCAAACTAAATAACCTATAATAACAAATCAGAGAACTCAGGTTACCAAATTTTAAGGGGTTCTATAAGTTTATATGAAATGCAGCATCCTCATGAGAGGGGATACAGAGAACCACTGGGCAGAAAACTGTGTCTAAAATACATCTGTGGATACACAGTCCCTTTATAGTTGACAAAGGCTGCCATGTAGTTTAAGGTGGAATAGAATATTTTCTCAATAAATAACACAGGACCATAGGGTTACACGTAGGAAAAAATAAATCTAAACTTATCCTCACACTATAAAAACACTTCTTATTTTTTATCTTGTTGTTGTAAACTTTTTATGCTTTATTTTTAAGATTGACAAATAAAAATTATATACTGTGGTCCTTCACTATTCCTGGGTGATTGGTTCCAGGATCCCCATTCAGATACCAAAATCTGCAGATGCTCAAGCCCCTTGCATGAAATGGCATAGCGAAGCTGGGCACCGTGGCTCACGCCTGTAATCCCAGCACTTTGGGAGGCTGAGTTGGGTAGATCACGAGGTCAGGAGTTCAAGACCAGCTGGTCCAACATTCTGAAACCCCGTCTCTACTAAAAATACACACACAAAAAAATTTATCTGTGCATGGTGGCACGTGCCTGTAATCCTAGGGGAGGCTACTGGGGAGGCTGAGGGAAGACAATCGCTTGAACCTGGGAGGCAGAGGTTGCAGTGAGCTGAGATCATGCCACTGCACTCCAGCCTGGGTGAGAGAGTGAGACTGTCTCAAAAAAAAAAAAAAATAGCATAGCAATTGCATAGAACCCATGCACATCCTCCTGTATACATGAAATCATCTCTTGATTACTTATAATTCCTGACACAGCCTACACGCCACTCAATTTGTGTCGATTCAACATAGTTTTTTGCTTCTTGAAACTTCGGGGATTTTTTTCTGAAAATATTTTTGATTTATTGTTGGTTCAATAAACACCTGTAAACCCCACAGATATGGAGGACCGACTGTATATTTATATTATGAAAGATGATATGTTGATATGTGTCCCCGTGGAGATGAGACTAACAAGGCCTATGTCTCTACAAATGTTTCATCGTGGAATGACTCTGCCAGCTTTCCAGGTCTGCAGAGAGTAAGAATATCACTTGTTCATGTGATTCACGATCCTTGGAGCCTCCTATGTGCTGTATCTTTGGATGGAAATTGGAGTCTCAGAGACAAATCAGGCTACATTCTGCTTCCAGAAGCTCAGAGTCCAGGGCTGAGAACCCAATGGAGAACAGATGGGGTTATGTGGACATGGTAATGATAACACCGGAAGCCTTAGGCAAGAAAAGAGTCTCGTTACCGAAACCATGAGGGCAGACATGTTTATTTGAAGGCGGGAAAACTACATTGAAATTATTTAAAAAATTTATAAGTTTTACTGCTGGCAGAAGGCTGAAAGATAGTCTGAAGGGAGGTGGAACAGCACGTGTCTAAGTGCTGTGTTAAGAGGCAGCCTCTTGTATGTTTGGAATTGTGAGTTCCTCAGTGTGATTGCAGCCTCAGGTAGACTAGGAAGTAAGCCAGTTAGGTTGGAGAGGTGGGCAGGGGTCAAGTGAAATGGAGAATTGTGGGCTAAGCAAAGGAGTGTGTTTTCTCTCCAGCAGGCAGTGGGGACCTTAGACATTTGTAAGCAAGAGAGAGGCATGTTCAGATTCGTGGTGTGAGGAAGAGCGATGCCCTAAGATGAAGACTGATGCCTTCAGATTCCAGCTGCTGGTACATGGGAGCTGGCAACCCGGTTTTGAGACAGGGCTGTTGTCTCCCTAGAAGATCCCCTCAAGGCCTGACTGTGGTGCTCGTGGACAGAAGACAACTTTGGATCTGGGCTCAGCATTTGGAAGTTCTATGTACATGCTGGTATCTGTTGGGGGTGTCTTGGGCCTCTCAGAAGGGCGAGTGATTTTTCTCTGTGTGAAAACACAGTGATCCAATTATGCGTATGACACCTCCTGATGGTCTTGTTCATCAGAATCCTGGAGAGAGGGAAATGCTGAGTGAGGGAGGGTGCTCACATTTTTCAGGACTCTTTGGGAATAAGACTAGCCACGAGGCTGGGCCGAGGAGCACCTACCTCGCTGTTCACTGTTCTGTTCCCTGCAGGCTCTTGGTCCATTACAGCAGCATCTGTAGAAGACGGAAGTCAACAAAAGAGCTCGGAGGGCACTTCTGGGTCCTCATTTCATAAGCAGATACCAACAAACAGGGGGAGGCCATAGGTGCCTGAGGTCCCTCAGTTGCCAACAGCAGACTCAGACATTCTATCTCTCTGAGTTCAAGGACCCATCCCATGAATAGCTCTGAGTTCCCATCCCATTGATTCTATCTCCCACTTTCTGCCTGTCATGGAACCTTCTCCTGGATGTGAGTGGCTGCAGGGGACGTGAGGATACAGTTCAGAATCAGGCAATGGTCTGTGAGCTGAAGGCAGGGGAAGGGAATCTGGTGCTCTCTCTAGAAAGTCCTGCCTCTGTGGCTCCTGTCTTGGGCCAGGGACCATCCTGCTGGTGAGGAACACACATCCGCGTGCTCCCATCCTGCTTCCCCACATGGCCCTGAGCTCTCTGGCCTCTGCTTCGTGAGACTTACTTTTTTTGTCGGAGCACCAGCGATGAAGGAGAAAGAAGAGGAGGATGGTGAAAGGGATTTTGACCACTGAGGTCCCAATCAGAACATGTAGGTGTCTGGGGTTACCTGGAAGAAGAGGAGACACCAATAAGAAGCTAATCATAGCAGTTCCTCTTTATGAATTGTCTCGCATTTCTTGATTGGCAGGTAACCACATACAACGTCTCTTTAGGACAAGCACCCAAATGGCGGGAGACCTAGCTTTCCCCTGCTTTCTCAATTATAGCTCTCATAGTAACCATAGAACGTGCTGAGGATACAACTACTTTAGTTGAGATGTTTGACCCTTTCAAACCTCACATTGAAATTTCACCCCCATTGTGGGAGGTTGGGCCTCTTCAGAGGTGTTTGGGTCATGGAGGTGGATCCATCATGAACAGATCAATGCTGTCCCAAGGAGACGGGGTTAGCAAGTTCCCCCTCTGTTAGTTCCTGGAGAGCTGGTTGTTAAAAAGAGCTTGGAAGCTCCATCGCTCCCTCTCCCCCTTACTCTCTCTCTTGCCGTGTGATCTCTGCGGTCTCTGCACAGACAGACCCTCCTTCCCTTCTGCCAGAGTGGGAGCAGCCTGAGGCCGTCAAGAGAAATAGATTCTGGTGCCATGCTTCCAGTACAGCCTGCAGAACTGTGAGGCAAACCAATCTCTTTTCTTTAGAAGTTACCCAGGCTCAAGTGTTCCTTTAGAGCAACAAAAATGGACTAAGATAGCAACATCCTGAGATCAGGAGGAATGTCTCAGAACAGCCTGGGCTGTCTTCCTGTTCTTCCTGGAGGAGGACGTCATGCAGTGCTTTAGCTGAGTGCTTCCTGTGGCTCCAGGGTACAAAACCCAGGCTGGGCTGCTTTCTGGCTTCCCCCAGTTACACTGCAAATGGGGTGACTCCATATGTCCCGAGCAGCTTTTCTGAGCCTTGAGGGACTGGCTCACATTGAAATGCAGGCTTCTGTTGTCACTCGCTGCTTATCTGTTAGTAATGAACCTGCCTATGTAACGTATCCTCTGTGTGTTCTGTCTCCCTGGAGTGACGGTGAGTGATAGGAATTGGCATAGGCCCAGGTGCAGTCCAGGATTTGTTTAGAGTCTTCTCTGGGAAGACTGCACTGGGATTGATACACAGCGAATGTGCTTTAGGATTTCTACATCCACAGCATTCTTGAGTCAAACAAATTGCATTCACCAAGGAAAGGAAACAAAGGTGAAATCACGATTAAAAATAGCGAAGCAAGATTCTCTTATGTCAAACAGCCAGAAAATAGTGTTGAAGCCCGTGTGAAATGTGCTGCTCTTTGTGATCTCGGGAGACACATGTTAGGCTGCTGTTCTACCCGAGAGGCTGGGGGAAGGACCACCCCCTCCACCATCTATTGCTTCAATACCACCTGTCCTCCTGTGAATTAGTAGGAAAGGGGAACAGGAGCTAGTGCTGTCGCTGATCTCTGATTCCAAGATCTGGACTCACTCCAAGGAATATTAATGTTTCCTCCCCATGGTCTATCTGAATCTCCACAGGTGATTGGAAGTAGGGGTGAGGTGGGCGATTTGGGTGAGTGGGCAAGTTTTTTTTTGCGATGACCAGAGCACTTTCTCTATTCCAGGATCCGTGCTGGAGGATTCAGCGGGCTTTCACATTTTCTATGTGATCTCATGCTCACAGAAAGCCAAATAGGGAAGAGGTTTTAGGCTGATTGCCTAATGGATAAGATAAAGGATCAAAGAAGTAATTATAGAGAAATAGAAAAATGATGATTGGAATTCAGGTGCCTTTGTCATTCGTGTGTGTTTTATTATATTTATGCATTTCTTATTTTTATTTTTTGAGACGGAGTCTCCTTGTGTCACCCAGGCTGGAGTGCAGTGATGCAATCTCCACTCACTGCAACCTCCACCTCCTGGGTTGAAGTCATTCTCCTGCTTCATCCTCCAGAGTAGGAGCTGGGATTACAGGGATGCACCACCATGCTCGGCTAATTTTTGTATTTTTAGTACAGATAGGGTTTCACCATGTTGGCCAGGCTGGTCTGGAACTCCTGACTTCATGGAATCCACCCGCCTTGGCCTCCTGCAGGGCTGGGTTACAAGCATGAGCCACCGTTCACAGACTTGTATATTATGCTATAATAGGTCCCTTCATTTCCACCACCCCTCATATATCTGTCACTCCTTTGCCAGGTATTGATTTATGTGTAGGATGAATAAATCTCAGAAAGAAATTAATTAAGCGAGGATTAAACAAGTAGGAAAATCAAACCCAGCAAGCCTTTCCAGCCAATGATTCTACCTCACAAGCATATCTTATATCCATCTACTTCATTCATTTAGTGTCTAAATCAGCACCACATTTCACCAGTGGGGCGGCAATTGCCTTTTCCACAGTCTCCTAGATTCCAGTTACGCACCTGGGCCTCCCTTATTTTCTTGTCAGTCACTATTAATCATGTAGGGATTCCTGGTTACCCCGAGGTGAATCCAATGGCTGTGAGTGTCAAACACACACTCCTTGTTCCTCCTTAGTTTCCTGTGTACCCAGAGTGCTCTCCATCTCTCTACAGTCATCTTGTCATTCTCCCCACCTCATTCCCAGCATTTCAGGCAGAGCCTCTTCCTTCAACATCAGATTGTTTTCACCTTTGTGCCTTCACAGCTGACAGCTGTGTGTGGAAAATCCTTCCGCCAATCTTTCAGGGGTTCAATCCGTGTTTTTCATTAATGTCACAAATATCTGATTAGTGAGACCTTCTCTGTCACCCAAAATTATACACTCAGCATTATCTATTATTTATTTTGAATTCTGGCTGGGCAAAGTGGCTCACGCCTGTAATCCCAGTACTTTGGGTTGCTGAGATGGTCGGATCACTTGAGGTTGGGAGTTTCAGACAAGCTTGGCCAACATGGTGAAACATCCTCTCTACAAAAAATATACAAAAAGAATTAGCCGGGCATGGTGGCAGTTGCCTGTAATCCCAGCTACTCGAGAGGGTGAGGCAGGAGAATCACTTGGATCCAGGAGACGCAGGTTGCAGTGAGCCAAGATCGTGACACTGCACTGTAGCCTGGAAGACAGAGGGAGACTCTGTCTCAATAAACAAACGAACAAACAAACAAATAGATTTCATGCACAGATGCTTCCCAATGGATCATTCATTTATTGGTCCACTTGTGCATTCATTTTCTGTCCTCCCATTTAACCATCTGCAATATCAGTGTCCCAAGAGCAGAGGCCAAATGCATCTTGTTCACCATTTGTGGAAGGCAGGAGAATGCTGTCCCACCCCAAAATGTCCCTGTCCTAGCCTCCATAGCTTGTGAATATGTTATTTTACATGGAAAGGAGGAATGAAGATTGCAGATGGAATTATGGTTGCTAATCAGCTGAACTTAAAACAAGGGTATCCTGAATGATTTCCGGGAGATTATGACGGATTTTCATCTTGGTGAACCCAATAGAATCCCCAAGTTTTCAAAAGATGAGGAAGAAGGGAGAGCAGCATTCAGAGAAAGAGGTGTGGTAAGGAAGAAGGGTCTGAGTGATGCCATGTGAGATGTGACCAGTCTTTGTGGGTTTTGAGGAAGGAGGAAAGGGACCAGCAGCCAAGGAACTGGGAGCCTTTATAAGATGGGACAAGTGAGAAGCAGATTCTTGCCTGGAATCCTCAGAGGGAAGGCAGGCTTGCTGTCATCTTGATTTTAGCCCAGTGAGATGCACTTCATGCTTTGAGCTAGAGCACTGTAAGATAATTAAATAACCGTTTTGTTTTCACCCACGAATCTTGTGGAAATTTGTTATGGCAACAATAGGAAAAGCTTCCACACTGCACAACCTGAGCATGGGGCCGTGGCTGAATAAGTCAGTGAGTCAAAGTGTGCGTGCATGAGCTCTGTTCTCTGTTACGGCAAGGCTCTTGCTCTGCTGAGTCAGCCAGGGTTGTTTCATGACCAACAGGAGCTCATTCCTTGGCAAGTGGAACTTCTCTAAAACACCTCGCCCTCATCAGATGTTCGCTTCCCTTCCCTCTCTCAAGCCCCCAGGAATTTATCCTCCAGTTAGGAATGCAAGCAGAACAAACATTGCGTTTTTCCTGAGAAGGATGTCAGATTGGCAATCATTCTTCTAGCTTGTAGGAGGTCTCAGCTCCATAAAATGAGAGATGAAGAGATTTCACTGAGCCCTGTGTTGGGCCCAGATCCCTTTCGCTGTTGGAGTATCTGGAGTTCGGAGATGGTAGAAGACAGGCGTACAATGTCAGAGCTGTGAGATGCTGAGTCAACGCCTGAATCCAAGGTTTCCACCTCCCCAGGGTTCCAAAAGCGGATATAAGAGGGTCCTGTACTCACCGGTTTTGGAGCTTGGTTCAGTGGGTGAAGGCCAACTATTTGAAGGGTTTCCTAGAACATGAGACAGGAGAGAGGTGAGGAAATGAGGGTGTCTGTCCTCTACTCAGTGGAAATCTTTGAGTTTGGTTCATGGCCAACACTCTGTTATCTAACATTGGGCCCTGGGAGTCCAGGGATCCTTTCTTCCATAATTTTTGTATGTGACGCCCACTGTCTTGAGACTTCAAGGTATAAAGAGAAAACAGGAGCATCACACTACCTGATCTCAAAATATGTTACAGAGCTGTAGTAAGCAAAACAGCATGATGTTGGCATGAAGAAAGGCACATAGAACAACGGAGCAGAATGAAGAACACAGATATAATCCATGCATTTACATCCAATTTTTTTTATTTTTTCTTTTGAGATGGAGTCTTGCTCTGTCACCCAGGCTGGAGTGCAGAGGTGCAATCTCGGTTCACTGCAACCTCAGCCTCCTGGGTTCAATCAATTCTCTTGCCTCAAACTCCTGAGTAGTAGTATTACAGGTGCTGACCACCATGCTCAGCTAATTTTTATATTTTTAGTGGAGACGATGTTTCATCACGTCGGCCAGAGTAATCTTGTACTCCTGTCCTCAGGTGATCCACCAGCCTTGGCCTCCCAAAGTGCTGAAGTTGCTGGTGTTAGCCACCATGCCCAGCCCATCCAATGGACTTTGACAAAGGTGCCAAGAACTCACAATCAGGAAAGGACAGTTTTTTCAATAAACAGTGCAGGGAAACCTGGACATCTACATGCAGAGGAATGAAACTGCACCTCTACCTGTCACCATACACAAAAATCAAATGAAAGTGGATTAAAGATGTGAGTCTAAGGCCTGAACCTGTGAAACACGTAGAAGAAAATATTGGGGAAATGCTCCAGTACATTTGTCTGAAGGAAGACATTTTGTTTTAAACCTTCAAAACACAAGTAATCGAAGCAAAAATAGACCATTGGGATTACCTCAAACTAAGCAACTTCTGCACCGCTAAAAATAAACCAACAAAGTGAAGAGACAACCCACAGATTGGGAGCAAATATGTGCAAACTATGCATCTGAGACGGGATTAATAACTAGAAGTATAAGAAGCTCAAACAACTCAATAAAACAAATGATTTAATTGAAAAAGGAGCAAAAGACATGAAATTTCCCCACATACGAAAAAGTGCTCAGTATCACTCATCATCAGAGAAACGCGAATTAAAATCAAAGTGAGTTTTCATCTCACCCCATTAAAATGGCTTTTAGGCCGGGCGAGGTGGCTCACGTCTGTCATCCTAGAACTCTGAGAGCCCGAGGTGGGCGAATCTCATAAGGTCGGGAGTTTGAGACCAGTCTGACCCACATGGAGAAACGCTGTCTCTACTAAAAATACAAAAATTAGTCGGGCGTGGTGGTGTGTGCCTGTAATTCCAGCTACTCGGGAGGCTGAGGCAGGAGAATCGCTTGAACCTGGGAGGTGGAGGTTGCGGTGAGCCGAGATCGCACCACTGCACTCCAGCCTGGGTGACAAGAGCGAAACTCCATCTCAAAATAAAATGAAATAAAATAAAATGGCTTTTAGCTGCAAGACAGGCAAAACAAATGCTGGCAAGGTGGTAGAGAAAGGAGAACCCTGGTACCCTGTTGGTAGGAGTGTAAATTAGTACAGCCATTACGGAGAAAAGTATGGAAGTCCTTTAAAGAACTAAAAAGAGGTTGGATGAAGTGGATCATGCCTGTAATCCCGGCACTTTGGGAGACCGAGGCGGGCACCTCAGTTGAGGTCATGAGTTTGAGAGCAGCCTAGCCAACCTGGGGAAACCCCATGTACACTAAAAAAAACCAAAAAGTATCCCGGCATGGTGGCGTGCACCTGTAATCCCAGCTACTAGGGAGGCTGAGGCAGGAAAATCATTTGAACCCAGGAGGCGGAGGTTGCAATGAGCCAAGATCACATCACTTGTACTCCAGCCTGGGCACAGAGGGAAACTGTCTCAAAAACAAAAACAAAACAACAAACGAAAAACTAAAAAGAGAACTTTCATAGTATCCAGCAATTTCACTACTGGGTTTATATCCAAAGGAAAGTAAATCAATGTATCGAAGTGATATCTGCACTCGTATGATTGGTGCAGCACTCTTCACAGTAGCCAAGATGTGGAGTCAACCTACCTGCCCATCAGTGGATGAATGGATAGAGAGAATGTAGTACATACGCACAGCGGAGACTACTCATCCATAGAAAGAATAACATCCTGATATTTGCAGCCACATGGATGGAACTGGAAGTCATTACAAATATTCTCATTTCTCACCCATATACAGGAGCTAAAAGGTGGATCTCATGAAGATAGAGAGTAGAATGGTGGCTACCAGAGGCCAGGAAGAAAAGGGTGGAGGATAAAACAAACAAACAAAAAATTTATATGTATGTATTTATGACCACTAGACCTTACACTTAAAATTGGTAAACGTGGCCGGGCGCGGTGGCTCATGCCTGTAATCCCAGCACTTTGGGAGCCTGAGGCGGGTGGATCACGTGGTCAGGAGTTCCAGAGCAGCTCGACCAACATGGTGAAACCCCCTCTCTACTAAATATACAAAAAGTAGCCCGGCGTGGTGATGGGCGCCTGTAGTACCAGCTACTCAGGTGGCTGAGGCAGGAGAATCGCTTGAACCCAGGAGGCGGAGGTTACAGTGAGCTGAGATTGTGCCACTGCATTCCAGCATAGGAGACAGAGCTAGACTCCACCTCAAAAAAAAAAAAATGTTAAAAGTGGTAAGCTATATAGGTATATTTAACCTCAATGAATATTTTTTCAAACAAAAAGAAAAGGATGTAGGGGTTGCTGGTGATGACATCTCTGTGTGGGTGAGAGGCCAGGAAGGGCTTCTGGGAAATGGGTAAGGTTGAGGGGCTGAGGGAACCTCTGATCTCCCCAAACTGAGCCCAGTCTCCCCTTCTCTGGGTCTCTCCTGACCGCTTTCTACATCTGCCTGGGTTTCTGGAGCCCTAATCGGAGGCCTCCATGCAGGCCATGCAGGAGGGTTTGGAGGTGCTGTGTGTGCCATCCTGCGCCCTGATCCCTCCCTCACAGGCATGCTGCGTCTTCTCTCTGCATCTGTCCATGCTTCTCTCCATCATCAGCAGGAAGCTCCTCAGCTAAGGCTCTAGGATCATAGGACATGGGACAGATATGGGGTTTCCTCACCTGTGACGGAAACAAGCAGTGGATCACTCGAGTTTGACCACTCGTAGGGAGCGTCACGGAAAGAGCCGAAGCATCTGTAGGTCCCTCCGTGGGTGGCAGGGCCCAGAGGAAAGTCGGCCTGGAATGTTCCGTTGATGCTGCGCACTGCAGGGAGCCTACGTTCATGGGCCTCCCCTTCCCTGGATAGATGGTACATGTCATAGGAGCTCCGGGAGCTGCAGGACAAGGTCACATTCTCTCCTGCCTGAACCGTGGGGCCCGGCTGGGCTGAGAGAGAAGGTTTCTCATATAGACCTGGAAGGAGAAGGGGCAGTTTCCTCAGGGGGGATCTTCCTTGTCACAGCTCCCCTCACACCTGACCTGAGAACTCACTCCCCTGCTCTATGGCCTAATGCTCTCTTTCTCTGTCTCACCCTCCACCCTATCTCTCTTCATGTCTATTTCCTCCTTCCACCTTCTCTGTCTCTGTAGGTCTCTGACCTCACTTCCCTACCTCTAGTTATGTTTTCCTTTTTTGGATTGTTTTATTCTCTCTGGCTCTCCTTGGATTGGTTGACTTGATGTTACTTTTTTTAACTCTGAGTTTCTCAGTTTGTGTCCCGTTCATAACTTTCTGCATATTTCTATCTATTATCTATCAATCCATCTATTTATCTATTCGGTGCCTATCTACAAATTCTCTACCTGTCATCTATATCTATATATCATCTATTTATCTATCAATTGTCTATCCGTCAATCATCTATTATCTATATATATGTATCATCTCTCTCTCTCTATTATTTCTCTCTTTGTCTTCCTCTCTATCTCTATGTATTATCTATCCATCTATCTTCATCATCATCATCTCTATGTATCATCTATTAATGAATCAATCAATCATCATCTATGTATCTATAACCTATTATCTATCATCTACCTATATATCATCTATCTATATCTATCCATCATCTATCTGTATCTATCCATCTATCATCTGTCTTGCTCTGCCTCTCGGTCTCTCTAGTTCTCTTTGGAATCTCTGCAATTCATCCCCACATCTCCATCTTTCTATGCCCTTGTGCCTCGCCCTCAGGACTCTAATTTTAGTGGTTTTCTCTGCTCTCTTCCATCATTCTCTCCACTTCTCTGCCCTCTTCTCTCTCTTTATGTGTCTGTGAGTCTCTCAATCTCCTTCCTCTGGCTCTTTCTCTGTGTGTTTATGTCTTTGCTTTTTGGTGTCCCTGATTTCTCTCTGTGCTTCTCAGTGATCCTCTCATATGTGATATGTGGGGTTATTTGGAATGTGAGCCTCAGAATCCAGTCTGGAGACCACAAGTTCACACAGCATACAGGGGTTGGTGTTCTGGGGCCATGATATTTTGGGACGATTATTCTCCATTGCATGGAAGTCAGAGGTGTCAGAATAAGCATGGCATCTGTAGGTGCCACAAGGCCTGAGGCCACAGGGCCCAACTCAGGTCAGAAATATGGGTGTCCTTGGGTTCTCCTGGTAGAGAACACTTTGTGGAGGTAAAACAGAAATGAAACTTCTAACCTGTGCCAGGTCTCTGAGCAAAGTCAGCATGGAAGGACACCTCTGTCTGGGACATGTCTGTCTGTCTCCTTTAACTCTTTCTGTCTTTTCTAACTCCCGGTATGGCCCCTGTGTTTGTCCTCTGTTATGACACCTGGTCTGTACTTGTGTCTCTTGTTTCTCTGTCTCTGTTGGCACAGACCTCACCAAGTCAGTCTCTCTCCATAAGAATACCAAGCTCATCTTCCTTACAACCACCTGGGTCTCCAAGTCCTGGATCATTCACTCTGCATCCCAATGACAATGAGAAGAATGTCTGGACACTCTCACCTATGATCACCATGTCCAGAGGGTCACTGGGAGCTGACAACTGATAGGGGGAGTGAGGAACAGAACCGTAGCATCTGTAGGTTCCTGCAAGGACAGGCATCATGGGACCAATGGAGAAGTTGGCCTTGGAAACCCCATCATGGTGCTCTCCAATGAGGTGCAAAGTGTTGTTAAACTTCCCCTCTCTGTGCAGAAGGAAGTGCTCAAACATGACATCCGACCAACATTGCAGGATGACTGTCTCTTCTGATTTCACCAGGTGACCTGGGAGGGCCAGGAAGGAAGGTTTTCTGTGGACTCCTAGGAAGAGAGGTTGTGAGTTTAGAAGGTGTCTCTCTTTATCATCCCATCCATGGCACCTGGAATGAGTGAGACTTCCCTTCGCTGGTGTCTGTCTCTCTGCTTCCTCTCTGTGTCTTCATGTTCTTTTCTGTGCCCATAACTCCTGGTGCAGGTCCTTCCATCTGTCTCCCTCCCTCTTCTCTGTCCCTCTGTCTCTAGTAGCTGTGATTCCCTTCCCACTGGGCTCAGCCTCATCTCTTGGGCTGTTGTATCTATTTCACACTAATGTCTTTCTTACTGTCTATGTGGGAGTGGAAGAGGAAGCAGGATAGGCTGCACGTCCCGGCTCTTAGCAGCCTGGTTCAATCTCTTTTGGACGAATTGGAATCCTTGGCAGGAGGTATGAACTGATCAGTAAGGCAGGCACCAGTGTCCACACACCCTGTTCCTGGTGGGGACTGGGAGCCACTCTTGCCATGTCTGTGCCTTCTCCATGGTGCCAGTTTCCATAGGCTGGCTCCTCGTGCTGATTTGAGGAGTATCAACCCCTCCCTATGTGGATGGAGCCTGGTGGTGGCATCATCATCCCACCCTTGCTGATCTCGGTGTAGCCAACCTTCTCTTTGTTTGGTTTCTTTAATTAATTAATTAATTTTGGAGACAGAGTCTCACTCCTTCACCCAGGCTGGAGTGAAGTGGTGTGGTCTACGCTCACTGCAACCTCTGTCTCCTGGGTTCAAGCGATTCTCCTGCTCTCAGCCTCCCGAGTCGCTAGGATTACATGCACCTGCCACCATGCCTGGCTATCCTTGTGTCTTTTCTTAACTTGTCCTTGACCTGGGTTCCAGTGTTGGTTTCCTGTTGCTGCTGTAGAAAATTATCAGAAGCATGGCAGCAGGAGAGAGCACACTGACCCCCTCCGATTCTGGAGACAGAAAGCGGACCCTGTTTTTCGAGGGCTAAAATCAAGGCATCTGCAGGGCTGTGTTCCCTCTGGAGACTCAGGAGAATCAGTTACTTGACTTTCCCAGCCTCTATAGGCCACCTGCATTCATGGCTTATGGCCTTCATCCACCTTCAAAGCTAATGGAGTCTCCCACTACGCTGCTCTAATCCCCACTCTCCTCTTCCTCCTCCTTTCATGTGGACACTTGTGATTATATTGAGCCCACCGGGACAGTCCAGGCTGTCTCCCCATCTCAAGGTCAACTCATCAACAACCTGAGCTCCATCTTCCCCTTCAGTCCCTTCCCCTATAACATAAATAGTCACAGACTCCAGGGATTAGAATGCAGTCATCACTGGGGACACTTATTCTTCCCACCACAGCACCCATTTCCCTGTATTCAATCCCCCTTTACCCCAAATACAGTTAGGGCCTGCGTGATGGGACCCTCAAGGACATGCCTACCAGAAGCTCTGGGATTCAGGAGGTGGGACAAGGAGAATCCCAGACAGGAGCCCTCTGACCTGTGACCATGATCACCAGGGGGTTGCTGGGTGCCGACCACCCACTGGGGGAGTGTGTGTGTGAACCCCGGCATCTATAGGTCCCTGCATGTGACGGGGTCACAGGGCCCATGAAAAGGCTTTTCCAGAATATTCTGTTGTACAGCTCAGGGACAGGCACCCCATCATCCTTGTACAGACTGAAGTTGTTAAACCCAAGATTAGAGTGACACTGAAGAGTCACATGTTCTGGAGGCACCACAAGGCTGGGCCAGGTAGAAAGCAAGGGCTTGTCCTGACCACCTTGGGGTGAAGGAGGCGCCGCCTTAGAGAGGAGGATGTGGAGCTGTGCCTCCCTCCCTGTGCTCAGAAGATTCTCCCCACTTTCCACATTTCTATGGCTGCTATCACACCTTGGTGCCTAGGGCTAAAGGAAGGACCCATCCCACAAAGACAAGGTGTCTCCGTACAACAAAAGTGTCAGCTGAGAACTTTGAGCAAGTGCTGAGTAAGAGACTCCTACTAGATTTTAATACTGTAAGATTACTGACATAAAACAACACAGGGTAGACATGAAGTGGAGGGCATGTCCTTTGAGAATGGAATATCAGCAGTTGCCTGAATGAAAATAAAAAACTTAGCCCCCATCAGAGGATTTGGAATGTCAGGGCCATGGCTGTGGTTTCCCACCTCTTCTGGTAGAATGACAGCAGCCACACTGCAGCCCCTACCGTCATGGAAACGCTGAAGTGTGTGAGTAACACCTTTGTCCTCAGAGGATCTGCTGTTCCTACCACTTCCCCACCACACAACCCAGCTTTGAACACCCTAGTCCAACCCTGGTCCCCACACAACTTGACTCTGCCAAGGGGTTGAGAGGCCAGGGAGGCAAGGTCGGAACTGTGGGCCGAGCACCCCAGGGTCCCCTCTTCCTAGTTTATGAGAGACTCCCTGACAGGACTTCCCTCCCGTTTCAGGAAAATCCTCTTATGTGGGGAGATGACACCCTAAGGTTTGGAGAAGGACTTACCCTCCTGTGGCCAGGCCCCCTGCAGCAAGAAGAACCCTGGAAAGAAAGATCATGATGGAAGATCCATTTGCAGGCAAACAAGGCCTTCCTTGCTGCCCCCACTGGGCTGTGAGTCTTGATAGCCAGCCCCTTCCTGGGCCGAAGGTAAACTCACCATCAGTGCCTACCTGCACCCAAGAACAGTGCTCTCGGCTGTACAGAGACCCAGCCTCCAGGCCCATATCCCCACCCCAAGCCCATATCTCCACTCCAGGCCCATATCTCCACTCCAGGCCGATATTTCCACCCTAGACCCATATAGCCAATCCGGGCCCACATCTCCAATCCAGGCTCAGATCTCCACCCTCGGCCCATATCTCCAATCCAGGCCCATATCTCCACTCCAGGCCCATATCTCCACTCCAGTCCCATATCTCCTCTCCAGTCCCATATCTCCACTCCAGGCCCATATCTCCACCCCAGGCCCAGATCTCCACCTCCAGGCCCATAACTACACTCCAGGATCATATCTCCACTCCAAGCCCATATCTCCACATCAGGCCCATATCTCCACTCCAGTCCCATATCTCCACACCCAGGCCCATATCTCCATTCCAGGCCCATATCCCCATCCTAGGCCCATATCTCCACCGTAGGCCCAGATCTCCACTCCAGGCCCATATCTCCACTCCAGGGCCATATCTCCACTCCAGGCCCATATCTACACACCAGGCCCATATCTCCACCCCATGCCCATGTCTCCACTCCAGACCCATATCTCCACCCCACGCCCATATCTCCACTCCAGGCCCATATCTCCAACCCACGCCCATATCTCCACCTCCAGGCACATATCTCCACCCCACGCCCGTATCTCCACTCCAGTCCCATATCTCCACTCCCGGCCCATGTCTCCACCCCATGCCTATATCTCCACTCCAGTCCCATATCTCCACTCCAGGCCCATATCTCCACTCCAGACCCATATCTCCACTCGGCCCATGTCTACACTCCAGGCCCATATCACCACCTCCAGGCCCATATCTCCACTCCAGGCCCATATCTCCACCTCCAGGCCCGTATCTCCACTCCAGACCCATATGTCCACTCCAGGCCCATATCTCCACTCCAGGCCCATATCTCCACTCCAGGGCCATATCTCCACTCCAGGCTCATATCTCCACTCCAGGCCCATATCTCCACTCCAGGGCCATATCTCCACTCCAGGCTCATATCTCCACTCCAGGCCCATATCTCCACTCCAGGGCCATATCTCCACTCCAGGCCCAGATCTCCACCTCCAGGCCCGTATCTCCACTCTAGTCCCATATCTCCACTCCAGGCCCATATCTCCACCTCCAGGCCCATAACTTCACTCCAGGCCCATAACTCCACTCCAGGCCCATATCTCCACCTCCAGGCCCATATCTCCACTCCAGGGCCATATCTCCACTCCAGGCTCATATCTCCACTCCAGGCCCATATCTCCACTCCAGGGCCATATCTCCACTCCAGGCCCAGATCTCCACCTCCAGGCCCCTATCTCCACTCTAGTCCCATATCTCCACTCCAGGCCCATATCTCCACCTCCAGGCCCATAACTTCACTCCAGGCCCATAACTCCACTCCAGGCCCATATCTCCACCTCCAGGCCCATATCTCCACTGCAGACCCATATCTCCACTCCAGGCCCATATCTCCACTCCAGGCCCAGATCTCCACTCCAGGCCCAGATCTCCACTCCAGGCCCAGATCTCCACCTCCAGGCCCCTATCTCCACTCTAGTCCCATATCTCCACTCCAGTCCCATATCTCCACCTCCAGGCCCATAACTTCACTCCAGGCCCATAACTCCACTGCAGACCCATATCTCCACTCCAGGCCCATATCTCCACTCCAGGACCATATCTCCACTCCAGGCTCATATCTCCACTCCAGGCCCGTATCTCCACCTCCAGGCCCATAACTTCACTCCAGGCCCATAACTCCACTCCAGGCCCATATCTCCACTCCAGTCCCATATCTCCACTCCAGTCCCATATCTCCACCCTAGGCTCCTACCTCCCCTCCAGGTTCCTATCTCTCCTCCAGGTTCCTCTCTCCACTCCAGGTTCCTATCCCCACTCCAGGCCCATATCTCCACTCCAGGCCCAGATCTTCACTCCAGGCCCAGATCTCCACTCCAGGCGCAGATCTCCACTTCTAGGCTCATCACTCCATCTCTAGGCCCAGATCTCCACTCCAGGCCCATAACTCCACCTCCAGGCCCATATCTCCACCTCTGGGCCCAGATCTCCATCCCCACGCTCCCTCCCTCTATTCCCTTCCAGGACTCACCAACACACGCCATGATGATGACCATGAGCGACATGGTGCTGCCGGTGCAGACAGGCGGCCGCGCCCCAGCTCAGCTCAGCAGCACACAGGATGTTATTTGGCGCCCTGCCCATGCAGTTTACATGTTGACCACATCATGGGAGGGTGACGTACGCAGGCTTTTTCTACCTTGCATGAGGCCCAGTGGGTGCTCGCTCAAGAGCGGAACATGGCTTCCTGGAAATTGCTCTCACTAGAATTGACACCTCGCGTCCTTCACTATGACCAACTCAAAACATGTCTTAGATCCAACCTCCCAAACATGAGATGCCTAAAATCTGTGCTAACATGAAAGACTTTTCATGAATTTTTATTGTTTTTATCTGAGATTCGAACTCTTCTTCCTGTGTAATATGCAAAATATCTAATAGGTATTATTAGTGTTTTCAGAGTCATTGTGACTAATAAACCATTAGAATTGTTCATGCTTGTATTTCTAGTATTACAGCAGAACCAGTTCAAATGATTTAAATTCCCAGGGAAGGATTATGCAATTATTTACAATCTTAGAATTGTACTTTATCAGCAAAAACCACACATGTAAATTCTGGATTTTTGTAGTTTTATCTATAATTTGTCTCATGACTCAAGATTCCAGAGTCCCAACTTTGGAGTTTGCTCTCTCTCTGTCTCTCTGCCTCCCTCATTTTAAATTTTACAGAAATATCCAGTAACATAATGCTATAGAAAATCAAGTTTCCCCCAGCAGGTCGGGAAGCCGAGGTGGGCGGATCAACTGAGATGAGGAGATTGAGAGCAGCCTGGCCAACATAGTGAAACCGTGTCTCTGCTAAAAATCCAAAAATTAGCCGTGCCTGGTGGCAGGCACCTGTAACGCCAGCTACTCAAGAGGCTGAGGCACGAGAATCGCCTGAACCTGGGAGGCGGAAGTTGCAGTGAGCTGAGATTGCTCCACTACAGTCCCGCCTGGGCGACAGAGCAAGACTCCGCCTCAAGAAAAAAAAATAGCAAGTAGCCTATAATAACAAATTAGAGGGCTCTGGCTACTAAATTTAAAGGGTTTTATAAGGCTACATGAAGTGCAGCATCCTCAAGAGTGTGGACACAGAGAGCCCCTTAGCAGAAACAGTGTCTAAAATACATCCGTGTACACACAGTCCCTTTAGAGTTGACAAAGGCTGCCGTGTGGTTTAAGGTGGCATAGAATGTCTTCTTAATAAATAATATTAAACCAAAGGGTTACACGTAGGAAAAAATAAATCTAAACTTATTCTCACACTATAAAAACACTTCTTACTTTTTATCTAGTTATTGTACATTTTTTATGATTTATATTTAAAATTGAGAAATAAAAGTCATATACGGTCATCCTTTACTATTCGTGGGTGATTGGTTTCAGGATCTCCACTCAGGTACCAAAATCTGCAGATGCTCAAGCCTCTTACATAAAATGACACAGCATTTGGATATAACCCATGCACATCCTCCTGTATACATGAAATCATCTCTTGATTACTTATAATTCCTGATACAGCCTACACACTGCCTCATTTGTGTCCATTCAACATAGTTTTGCATTTTGAAACTTTGTGGACATTTTCTCTGAATATTTTTGATTTACACTTGGTTCAATAAACACCTGTAAACCCCACAGATATGGAGGAGCGACTGTATATTTATAGTATGAAATATGATGTGTTGATATGTGTCCCCGTGGAGATGAGACTAGCAAGGCTTATGACTCTACAAATGTTTCATCGTGGAATGACTCTGCCAGCTTTCCAGGTTGCAGAGAGTAAGAATATCACTTGTTCATGTGATTCACGATCCTTGGAACCTCCTATGTGCTGCATCTTTGGATGGAAATTGGAGTCCCAGAGACAAATGAGGCTCCACCCTGCTTCCAGAAGCTCAGAATCCAGGGGTGAGAACCCAGCGGAGAACAGATGGGGTTATGTGGACATGGTAATGATAACAGCGGTTTCTTTCAGCGAATACAGTGTCACATTACCTGAAGCAATGAGGGCAGACATGTTTATTTGAAGAGGAGACAGCTACATTGAAATCACAAAAAATTTTATAAGTTTCACTGCTGACAGAAGGCTGGAAAATAGTCCGAAGAAAGGTGAAACAGCATGAGGGAAGGTGGAACAGCACGTGGGTAAGTGCCACGTCAAGAGGGAGCCTCTTGTATGTTTGGAATTGTGAGTTCCTCAGTGTGATTGCAGCCTCAAGTAGACTAGGAAGTAAGCCAGTTAGGTTGGAGAGGTGGGCAGGGGTCAAGTGAAATGGAGAACTGTGGGCTAAGCAAAGGAGTGTGTTTTCTTTCCAGCAGGCAGTGGGGACCTAGACATTTGTAAGCAAGAGAGAGGCACCAGATTTGTGGCGTGAGGAGGAGCGATGCCCTAAGATGAAGACTCACGCCTTCAGATTCCAGCTGCTGGTACATGGGAGCTGGCAACTCGGTTTTGAGACAGGGCTGTTGTCTCCCTAGAAGACGTCCTCAAGGCCTGACTGTGGTGCTCATGGGCAGGAGACAACTTTGGATCTGGGCTTAGCATTTGGAAGTTCCGTGTACAAGATGGTATCTGTAGGGGGTGTCTTGGGCCTCTGAGAAGGGCGAGTGATTTTTCTCTGTGTGAAAACGCAGTGATCCAACTGTGCGTATGTCACCTCCTCAGGGTCTTGTTCATCAGAGTCCTGGAGAGAGGGAAATGCTGAGTGAGGGAGGGAAATGCTGAGTGAGGGAGGGTGCTCACGTTTTCCAGGACTGTTTGGGAATAACACTAGCCACGAGGCTGGGCCGAGGAGCACCTACCTCGCTGTTGGCTGTTCTGTTCCCTGCAGGCTCTTGGTCCATTACAGCAGCATCTGTAGGAGACGGAAGTCAACAAAAGAGCTCGGAGGGCACTTCTGGGTCCTCATTTCATAAGCAGATACCAACAAACAGGGGGAGGCCATAGGTGCCTGAGGTCCCTCAGTTGCCAACAGCAGACTCAGACATTCTATCTCTCTGAGCTCAAGGACCCATCCCATGAATAGCTCTGAGTTCCCATCCCATTGATTCTGTCTCCCACTTTCTGCCTCTCATGGAACCTTCTCCTGGATGTGAGTGGCTGCAGGGGACATGAGGATACAGTTCAGAATCAGGCAACGGTCTGTGAGCTGAAGGCAGGGGCAGGGAGTCTGGTGCTCTCTCTAGAAAGTCCTGCCTCTGTGGCTCCTGTCTTGGGCCAGGGACCATCCTGCCAGTGAGGAACACACAGCTGTGTGCTCCCATCCTGCTTCCCCACATGGCCCTGAGCTCTCTGGCCTGTGCCCCGTGAGACTTACTTTTTTTGTTGGAGCACCAGAGATGAAGGAGAAAGAAGAGGAGGAGGATGAAGAGGATGATGACCACTGAGGTCCCAATCAGAATGTGCAGGTGTCTGGGGTTACCTGGAAGAAGAGGAGACACCAGTAAGAAGCTAATCATAGCAGTTTCTCTATATGAATTGTCTTGCATTTCTTGATTGACAGGTAACCACTTACAGCATCTCTTTCGGACAAGCACCCAGATGGCGGGAGACCTAGCTTCCTCCTGCTTTCTCAGTTATAGCTCTCATAGTAACCATGGAACGTGCTGAGGATACAACTACTTTAGTTGAGATGTTTGACCCCTTCAAACCTCACATTGAAATTTAACCCCCAGTGTGGGAGGTTGGGCCTCTTGGGAGGTGTTTGGGTCATGGAGGTGGATCCATCATGAACAGATCAATGCTGTCCCAAGGAGACGGGGTTAGCAAGTTCCCTCTCTATTAGTTCCTGGAGAGCTGGTTGTTAAAAAGAGCTTGGAAGCTCCATTGCTCCCCCTCCCCCTTGCTCCCTCTCTTGCCGTGTGATCTCTGTGGTCTCTGCACAGACAGACCCTCCTTCCCTTCTGCCAGAGTGGGAGCGGCCTGAGGCCATCATAAGAAATAGATGCTGGTGCCATGCTTCCAGTACAGCCTGCAGAATGGTGAGGCAAACCAATCTCTTCTTTAGAAGTTACCCAGGCTCAAGTGTTCCTTTAGAGCAACAAAAATGGACTAAGACAGCAAAGTCCTGAGATCAGGAGGATCGTCCCAGAACAGCCTGGGCTGTCTTCCTGTTCTTCCTGGAGGAGGACGTCATGCAGTGCTTTAGCTGAGTGCTTCCTGTGGCTCCAGGGTACAAAACCCAGGCTGGGCTGCTTTCTGGCTTCCCCCAGCTACACTGCAAATGGGGTGACTCCACATGTCTCGAGCAGCTTTTCTGAGCCTTGGGGAACTGGCTCACATTGAAATGTAGGCTTCTGTTGTCACTCGCTGCTTATCTGTTAGTAATGAACCTGCCTATGTAACGTATTCTCTGTGTGTTCTGTCTCCCTGGAGTGACGGTGAGTGATAGGAATTGGCATAGGCCCAGGTGCAGTCCAGGAGGTGTTTAGAGTCTTCTCTGGGAAGACTGGACTGGGATTGATACACAGCGAATGTGCTTTAGGATTTCTACATCCACGGCATTCTTGAGTTAAACAACTTGCATTCTCCAAGAAAAGGAAACAAAAGTGAAATCAATATAAAAAAAGCGAAGTAGAATTCTCTTATGTCAAACAGCCAGAAAATAGTGTTGAAGCCCGTGTGAAATGTGCTACTCTTTGTGATCTCGGGAGACACATGTTAGGCTGCTGTTCTACCTCAGAGGCTGGGGGAAGGACCACCCCCTCGACTATCTATTGCTTCAATACCACCTGTCCTCCTGTGAATTAGTAGGAAAGGGGAGCAGGAGCTAGTGCTGGCACTGATCTCTGATTCCAAGATCTGGACTCACTCCAAGGAGTATTAGCATTTACCTCCCCATGATCTATCTGTATCTCCACAGGTGATTGGAAGTAGGGGTGAGATGGGGGATTTGGGTGAGGGGGCAAGTTTTTTTTGTGATGACCAGAGCACTTTCTCTATTCCAGGATTTGTGCTGGAGGATTCAGCGGGCTTTCACATTTTCTATATGATCTCATGCTCACAGAAAGCCAAATACGGAAGAGGTTTTAGGCTGATTGCCTAATGGATAAGATAAAGGATCAAAGAAGTAATTATAGAGAAATAGAAAAATGATGATGGGAATTCAGGTGCCTTTGTCATTCGTGTGTGTTTTATTATATTTATGCATTTCTTATTTTTATTTTTTGAGATGGAGTCTCCTTGTGTCACCCAGGCTGGAGTGCAGTGATGCGATCTCCACTCACTGCAACCTCCACCTCCTGGGTTGAAGTCATTCTCCTGCTTCATCCTCCAGAGCAGGAGCTGGGATTACAGGGATGCACCACCATGCTCGGCTAATTTTTGTATTTTTAGGAGAGATAGGGTTTCACCATGTAGAGATAGGGTTTCTCCATGTTGGCCAGGCTGGTCTCGAACTCCTGACTTCTTGGAATCCACTGGCCTTAGCCTCCTGCAGTGCTGGGTTACAGGAGTGAGCCACCGTTCACAGACTTGTATACTATGCTATAATAGGTCCCTTCATTTCCACCACCCCTCATATATCTGTCACT
This sequence comes from Homo sapiens, assembly GCF_000001405.40. Lineage (NCBI taxonomy): Eukaryota > Metazoa > Chordata > Mammalia > Primates > Hominidae > Homo > Homo sapiens. Next base: position 42,123 of record NT_187639.1, read on the forward strand.
CCTTTGGCAGGTATTGATTTATGTGTAGGAGGAATAAATCTCAGAAAGAAATTAATTTAGCAAGGATTAAACAACTAGGAAACTCAAACCCAGCAAGCCCTCCCTGCAAATGATTCTACCTCCCAAACATAGCTTATATCCATCTGCTTCATCCACTTAGGGTCTAAATCAGCACCACATTTCACCAGTGGGGCGGCAATTGCCTTTTCCACTGTCTCCTAGATTCCAGTTACGCACCTGGGCCTCCCTTATTTTCATGTCAGTCACTATTAATCATGTAGGGATTCCTGGCTACCCCGAGGTGAATCCAATGGCTGTGAGTGTCAAACACACACTCCTTGTTGCTCCTTAGTTTCCTGTGTACCCAGTGTGCTCTCCGTCTCTCCACAGTCGTCTTGTCATTCTCCCCACCTCATTCCCAGCATTTCAGGCAGAGCCTCTTCCTTCCACATCAGATTGTTTTCAGCTTTCTGCCTTCACGGCTGACAGCTGTGTGTGGAAAATCCTTCCGCCAATCTTTCAGGGGTTCAATCCGTGTTTTTCATTAATGTCACAAATATCTGATTAGTGAGACCTTCTCTGTCACCCAAAATTATACACTCAGCATTATCTATTATTTATTTTGAATTCTGGCTGGGCAAAGTGGCTCACGCCTGTAATCCCAGTACTTTGGGTTGCTGAGATGGTCGGATCACTTGAGGTTGGGAGTTTCAGACAAGCTTGGCCAACATGGTGAAACATCCTCTCTACAAAAAATATACAAAAAGAATTAGCCGGGCATGGTGGCAGTTGCCTGTAATCCCAGCTACTCGAGAGGGTGAGGCAGGAGAATCACTTGGATCCAGGAGACGCAGGTTGCAGTGAGCCAAGATCGTGACACTGCACTGTAGCCTGGAAGACAGAGGGAGACTCTGTCTCAATAAATAAATGAACGAACAAACAAATAGATTTCATGCACAGATGCTTCCCAATGGATCATTCATTTATTGGTCCACTTGTGCATTCATTTTCTGTCCTCCCATTTAACCATCTGCAATATCAGTGTCCCAAGAGCAGAGGCCAAATGCATCTTGTTCACCGTTCGTGGAAGGCAGGAGAATGCTGTCCCACCCCAAAATGTCCCTGTCCTAGCCTCCATAGCTTGTGAATATCTTATTTTACATGGAAAGAAGGAATGAAGATTGCAGATGGAATTACGGTTGCTAGTCAGCTGAACTGAAAACAAGGGTATCCTGAATGATTTCCGGGAGATTATGATGGATTTTCATCTTGGTGAACCCAATAGAATCCCCAAGTTTTCAAAAGATAAGGAAGAAGGGAGAGCAGCATTCAGAGAAAGAGGTGTGGTAAGGAAGAAGGGTCTGAGTGATGCCATGTGAGATGTGACCAGTCTTTGTGGGCTTTGAGGAAGGAGGAAGGGGACCAGGAGCCAAGGAACTGGGAGCCTTTAGAAGCTGGGACAAGTGAGAAGCAGATTCTTGCCTGGAATCCTCAGAGGGAAGGCAGCCTTGCTGTCACCTTGATTTTAGCCCAGTAAGATGCACTTCCTACTTTGAGCTACAGCACTGTAAGATAATTAAAAAACCGTTTTGTTTTCACCCACGAATCTTGTGGAAATTTGTTATGGCAACAATAGGAAAGGATTCCAACTGCACAGCCTGAGCATGGGGCCGTGGCTGAATGAGTCAGTGAGTCGAAGTGTGCGTGCATGAGCTCTGTTCTCTGTTACGGCAAGGCTCTTGCTCTGCTGAGTCAGCCAGGGTTGCTTCATGACCAACAGTAATTCATTCCTTGGCAAGTGGAACTTCTCTAAAACACCTCGCCCTCATCAGATGTTCCCTTCCCTTCCCTCTCTCAAGTCCCCAGGAATTTATCCTCCAGTTAGGAATGCAGGAAGAAAAAACACTGCATGTTTCCTGAGAAGGATGTCAGATTGGCAATCATTCTTCTAGCTTGTAGGAGGTCTCACCTGCAGGACATTAAAGGTTAAGAGACTTCGCTGAGTCCTTTGGTGGCCCTAGATCCCTTTCACTGTTGGAGTGTCTGGAGTTCAGAGATGGTGGAAGACAGGCCCTCATTCACAGAGCTGGGAGGTTTGAGCCAACACTTGCATCCAAGGCTTCCACCTCCCCAGGTTTCCAAAAGCAGAGATAAGAGGGGTCCTTTACTCACCAGATTTGGAGCTTGGTTCTGTGGGTGAAGGCCAACTACTTGAAGGGTTTCCTAGAACATGGGACAGGAGAGATGTGAGGAAATGAGGGTGCTTGTCCTCTACTCAATGGAAATCTTTGAGGTTGGTTCATGGCCAACACTCTGTTATCTAATGTTGGACCCTGGGAGTCTTGGGATCCTCTTCTCCATAATTTTTGTGTGCGATGCCCACTGTCTTGAGACTTGAAGGTATAAAGAGAAAACAGGAGCATCACACTACCTGACTTAGAAATATGTTACAGAGCTGTAGTAAGCAAAACAGCATGACATTGGCATAAAGAAAGGCACATAAAAAATGAAACAGAATGGAGAACACAGATATAATCCATGCATTTACATCCAATGGCTTTTTTTGTGTGTGTGTGTGTTAGAATCTTGCTCTGTCATGCAGGCTGGAGTGCAGAGGTGCAATCTCAGCTCAATGCAACCTCCACTTCCTGGATTCAAGCAATTCTCTTGCCTCAAACACCCGAGTAGTGGTATTACAGGCACTGGTCACCATGCTCAGCTAATTTTTGTATTTTTAGTAGAGACGAGGTTTCACTCTGTTGGCCAGCCTGATCTTGAACTCCTGGCTTCAGGTGATCCACCCGCCTCGGCCTCCCAAAGTGCTGGAATTGCAGGTGTGAGCCACCATACCCAGCCCATTTAATGGACTTTGACAAAGGTGCCGAGAACTTACAATCAGGAAAGGACAGTCTTTTCAATAAATGGTGTGGGGAAAACTGGATATCTATATGCAGAGGAATAAAACTGCATCTATACCTGTCACCATACACAAAAATCAAATGAAAATGGATTAAAAACATGAGTCTAAGGCCTGAACCTATGAAACATGTAGAAGAAAATAATGGGGAAGACATTTGTCTGACGAAAGACATTTTGTTTAAAACCTTCAAAACACAAGTAATCAAAGCAAAAAATAGACCATTAGGATTACATCAAACCAAGCAACTTCTGCACCACAAAAGATAAACCAAGAAAGTGAAGAGACAACCGACAAAATAGGAGCAAATATTTGCAAACTATTCATCTGAGACGGGATTAATAACTGGAAATATAAGAAGCTCAAACAACTCAATAAAACAATTTAATTAAAAAACGAGCAAAAGACATGAGGAGACATTTCTCCACAAACAAAACATAGAAATGGCGATCACGTATATGAAAAAGTACTCGGCATCACTCATCATCAGAGAAATGTAAATTACAATCGCGATGAGTTTTCATCTCATCCCATTAAAATGCCTTTTAGGCCGGTGGCTCACGCCTGTAATTCCGGCACTTCAGGAGGCGGAGGTGGGCGGATCACCTGAGGTCGGGAGACCAGCCTGACCATCATGGAGAAACTCCCTCTCTACTAAACATACAAAAATTAGCTAGGCGTGGTGGCACATGCCTGTAATCCCAGCTACTTTGGAGGCTGAGGCAGGAGAATCAGTTGAACGCGGGAGGCGGAGGTTGCAGTGAGCTGAGATCACACCCTTGCACTCCAGCCTGGGAGACTATGAGTGAAACTCCATCTCAACATAAATAAATAAATAAAATAAAGTAAAGTAAAATGGCTTTTACTGCAAGACAGGCAAAACAAATGCTGGCAAGATGGTAGAGAAAGGAGAACCCTGGTACCCTGTTGGTAGGAATGTAAATTAGTACAACTATTATGGAGAAAAGTATGGAAATTCTTTAAAAAACTAAAAGGAGGCTGGGCATAGTGGCTTATGCCTGTAACTTCAGCACTTTGGGAAACCGAGGCAGGCACCTCACTTGAGGTCAGGAGTTTGAGAGCAGCCTGCCCAAAATTGGGATATCCCGTCTGTGCTAAAAAAATACAAAAATTAGCCAGGCATGGTGGCGTGCACCTGTAATCACAGCTACTAGGGAGGCTGAGTCAGGACAATCATTTGAACCTAGGAGGCACAGGTTGCAATGAGCCAAGATCTCACCACTTAGACTCCAGCTTGGACTAAGGAGGGAAACTCTTTCTCAAAAAAGAAAAAAAAAAAAAGAGAACTTTCATAGTGTCCAGCAATTTCACTACTGGGTTTATATCCAAAGGAAAGGACATCAGTGTATCGAAGTGATATCTGCACTCATATGACTGTTCCAGCACTGTTCACAGTAGCCAAGATGTGGAGTCAACCTACCTGCCCATCAGTGGGTGAATGGATAGAGAACTGTGGTACACACACACAGTGGAGACTACTCATCCATAGAAACAATAACATCCTGTCATTTGCAGCCACATGGATGGAACTGGAGGTCATTACAAAGATTCCCATTTCTCACCCACATGCAGGAGATAAAAGGTGGATCTCATGAAGGTGGAGAATACAATGGTGGACACCAGAGGCCAGGAAGGGAAGGGTGGAGGGTAACAAAAAAAAGAATATAGATGTATTTATTTATTTAGAAACAGAGTCTCTCTCTGTCTCCCAGGCTGCAGTGCAGCGGCATGATCTCGGCTCAGTGCAACCTCTGCCTCCTGGGTTTAAGTGCTTCTCCTGCCTCAGCCTCCCAAGTAGCTAGGACTACAGGTGCATGCCAGCATGCTCGGCTAATTTTTCTTGTCTGTTTAGTAAAGATGAATTTCCCACATGTTGGCCAGGGTGATCTCGAGTTCCTGATCTTAAATGATCCACCTTCCTTGGCCTCTCAAAGCGCCGAGATTACAACCGTGAACCACCACACCCAGCATATAAAGGTATTTATGACCACTAGATTTTACTTTTAAAAATGGTAAAGGTGGTAAATTATATAGTTACATTTAACCTCAATAAATATTTTTGAAAATGAAAAGAAAAGGGTGTAGGGGTTGCTGGTGATGATATCTCTCTGTGTGGGTGAGAGGCCATGATGGGCTTCTGGGAAATGGATAAGATTGAGGGGCTGAGGGAACCTCTGATCTCCCCAAACTAAGCCCAGTCTCCCCTTCTCTGGGTCTGTCCTGACCGCTTTCTCCATCTGCCTGGGTGCCTGGAGCCCTGATCGGAGGCCTCCATGCAGGCCATGAAGGAGGGTTTGGAGGTGCCCTGTCTGCCATCCTGCGCCCTGACTCCGCCCTCACACCTGCTGTGTCTTCTCTCTGCATCTGTCCATGCTTTTCTCCATCATCAGCAGGAAGCTCCTTAGCTAAGGATTTAGGATCATAGGACATGAGAGAGATATGGGCTTTTCTCACCTGTGACAGAAACAAGCAGTGGGTCACTCGGGTCTGACCACTCGTAGGGAGAGTGACGGAAAGAGCCGAAGCATCTGTAGGTCCCTCCGTGGGTGGCAGGGCCCAGAGGGAAATCTGCCTTGAATGTTCTGTTGACCTTGCGCACTGCAGGGAGCCTACGTTCATGGGCTCCCCCCTCCCTGGATAGATGGTACATGTCATAGGAGCTCCGGGAGCTGCAGGACAAGGTCACGCTCTCTCCTGCCTGAACCTTGGGGCCCGGCTGGGCTGAGAGAGAAGGTTTCTCATATGGACCTGGAAGGAGAAGAGGCAGTTTCCTCAGGGAGGTTCTTCCTTGTCATAGCTCCCCTCATACCTGAGCTGAGAACTCACTCCCCTGCTCTATGACCTAATGCTCTCTCTCTCTCTCTCACCCTCCACCCCATCTCTCTTCATATCTGTTTCCTCCTTCTACCTTTTCTGTCTCTCTAGGTCTATGACCTCACTTCCCCACCCTGAGGTATGTTTTCCCTTTTTGGATTGTTTTATTCTCTCTGACCCTCCTTGGATTGGTTGACTTGATCTTCCTTTTTCTTTAATTTTGAGTCTCTCACTTTCTGTCTTGTTCATAACTTTCTGCACATTTCTATCTATTTATCTATTTTGTGTCTATCTACAAATTATCTATCATCTATATTTATGTATCACTTATCTATCTCTCTATCAATTGTCTATCTGTCTATCTATCCATCAATCATCTATTATCTATATATGTATCATCTATCTCTCTCTCTATTACCTCTCTGTCTGCCTCTCTGTCTCTATTTATGTATCATCTATGTATATATCTATGTGTCTATCATCATCATCGTCATCTCTATGTATCATCTATCAGTCATCATCTATGTATCTATAACCAATCCATTATCTATCATCTACCTATTTATCATCTATCTACGTCTATCTATCCATCTATCATCTCTCTCTCTCCGTCTCCTTGTCTTTCTCTGCCTCTCAGTCTCTCTAGTTCTATTTGGAATCTCTGCAATCCATCCCCACATATTTATCTTTCTCTGTCTTTGTGTCCCTCCCTCAGGGTTCTGATTTTGGGGCTTTTCTCTCCTCCTTTCCATCATTCTCTCCATTCTGCCCTCTTTTCTTTCTTTTTATGTGTCTGTGAATCTCTTAATCTCCTTCTTCTGGCTCATTTTGTGTGTGTTTATGTCTTTGTTTTTTGGTGTCCCTGATTTTTCTCTGTGTCTCTCAGCGATCCTATCATATGTGGGATTATTTGGAATATGAGCCTCAGAATCCAGTCTGGGGACCCCAAGTTCACACAGCATACAGGGGTTGGTGTTCAGGGGCCATGATATCCTGGGATGATTACTCTCCATTGCATGGAAGGCAGAGGTGTCAGAATAAACACGGCATCTGTAGGTGGCACAAGGCCTGAGGCCACAGGGCCCAACTCAGGTCAGAAATATGGGTGTCCTTGGGTTCTTCTGGTAGGAACACTTTGTGGAGGTAAAACAGAAATGAAACTTCTAACCTGTGCCAGGTCTCTGAGCAAAGTCAGCATGGAAGGACACCTCTCTCTGGGACATGTCTGTCTGTCTGAGTGTCTCCTTTACCTCTTTCTCTCTTTTCTACCTCCCTGTATGGCCCCTGTGTCTGTCCTCTGTTATGACACCTGTTCTGTACTTATGTCTCCTGTTTCTCTGTCTCTGTTGGTACAGACCTCACCAAGTCACTCTCTTTCCATAAGAATCCCACACTTATCTTCCTCATGACCACCTGGGGGTTCCAAGTCCTGGATCATTCACTCTGTGTCCCAGTGACAATGAGAACAATGTCTAGACACTCTCACCTGTGACCACGATGTCCAGGGGATCACTGGGAGCTGACAACTGATAGGGGGTGTGAGTAACAGAACCGTAGCATCTGTAGGTCCCTGCAAGGGCAAGCATCATGGGACCGATGGAGAAATTGGCCTTGGAGACCCCATCATGGATCTGTCCAACGAGGCGTGAGGGGTCCTTAGAGATCCCCTCTTTGTGCAGAAAGAAGTGCTCAAACATGATATCTGACCAACATTGCAGGATGACTCTCTCTCCTGATTTCACCAGGGGACCTGGGTGGGCCAGGAGGGAAGGTTTTCTGTGGTTTCCTAGAAAGAGAAGTTGTGAGTTTAGAAGGCATCTCTCTTTATCATCCCATCCATGGCACCTGGAATGAGTGAGGGTTCCCCTCCCCGTGTCTGTCTCTCTCCTCCCTCTCTGCATCTCCGTGTCTTTTCTGTGCCCATATCCCCTGGTGCAGGTGCCTCCATCTGTCTTCCTCCCTCTTCTCTGTCCCTCTGTCTCCAGTAGCCCCTGACTCCCTTGCCACTGTGAAGACAGCCTCATCTCTTGGGCTGTTGTATCTGTTTCCCACTAATCTCTTTCCTGCTGTCTATGTGGGGGTGGAAGAGGAGAGGCTGCATGTCCAGGCTCTTAGCAGCCTGAATCAATCTCTTTTGAACAAATCCCCAGTTCAAGTGATTCTCTTGCCTCAGCCTCCCCAGTCGTTGGATTACTCGCGCCCACCACCACATCTGGCTATCCTTGTTTGGTTTCCTAACTTGTCCTTGACCTGGGTTCCTGTGTTGGTTTCCTGTTGCTGCTGCAGAAAATTACCACAAACATGGCAGCGGGAGAGAACACACTGACCCCTTCCACTTCTGGAGACAGAAATTGGATCCAGTTCTCCCTGTGCTGAAATCAAGGTGTCTACAGGGCTGCGTTCCCTCTGGAGAATCAGCGAATCAGTTCTCTTGACTTCTCCAGCCCTTAGAGGCCACCTGCATTCTGTGACTAGTGGTCTTCCTCCACCTTCAAAGCCCGCAGTGGCTGATAGCGTCTCCCTCCCACTACACTGCTCTAATCCCCACTCCCCTCTTCCTCCACCTCTCATGTGGACCCTTGTGATTACACTGAGCCCAGTGGGACAGTCCAGGCTGTCTCCCCATCTCAAGGTCAACTCATCAACAACCTGAGCTCCACCTTCCCCTTCAGTCCCCTGCCCTGTAACATAAATAGTCACAGGCTCCAGGGATTACAATGTAGCCATCATTGGGGACAGTGATTCTTCCCACCACAGCACCCATTTCCCCTGTATTCAATCTCCCTTGACCCCAAATACAGTCAGGGCCTGGGTGATGGGACCCTGACGGACACCCCCACCAGAAGCTCTGGGATTCAGGAGGTGGGACAGTGAGAAGCCCAGACGGAAAGCCTCTGACCTGTGACCATGATCACCACGGGGTTGCTGGGTGCCGACCACCCAGTGGGGGAGTGTGGGTGTGAACCCCGACATGTGTAGTTCCCTGCATGTGCTGTGGTCACAGGGCTCATGTTGAAGCTCTCCTGGAATAATCTGCCATGGAAGATGGGAACGTGGATTCTGTCTTCTTTGTATAGCATGAAATTGTTAAACCTATGACGATAGTGACACCGAAGAGTCACGTGTCCTCCTCGAGGCACCACAGCGCTGGGCCAGGCAGACAGGAAGGGCTTGTCCTGACCACCTGGGGGAGAAGGAGGCACTGCCTTAGAGAGGAGGATGTGGAGCCGCCCCTCACTCCCAGTGCCCAGAAGATTCTCCCCATTTCCACTTTCTAAGGCTCCTACCACACCTGGGTGCCCAGGGCTACAGGAAGGACCCATCCTGCATAGACATGGCGTCTCCCTACAACAAGTGTCAGCTGAGAACTTTGAGCAAGTGCTGGAGAAGCAACTCTTACTAGATTTTAATACTGCAAAATTACTCATATAAAACAACACAAAGTAGACACGGCATGGAGGGCAAGTCCTATGTGAATGGAATATCAGCCAATTGATGAACTGAGCCCCCATCAGAGGATTTGGAATGTCAGGGCCATGGCTGTGGTTTCCTCACCTTTTCTGGTAGAAAGACCACAGCCACACTGCAGCCCCTACCATCACGGAAACGCTGGAGGGTGTGAGTTACACCTTTGTCCTCAGAGGACCTGCTGTTCCTAGCACTGCTTCCCTCTCTTTCTCTGCTGCTGACACCACTTCCTCCCTGCACACCCATCTTGGAGCACCCTAGTCTCACCCCAGTCTTCACAGAGCTTGACTCAGGAAAGGGAAAGAAAGGCCGGGGAGGGCAAGGTCAGAAATGTGGGCCGAGCATCCGAGGGTCCCCTCTTCCTAGTTTATGAGAGACTCCCCGACAGGACTTCCCTCCCATTTCAGGAAAATCCTCTTATGTGGGGAGATGACACCCTAAGGTTTGGGGAAGGACTCACCCACGTGTGGACCGGCCCTCTGGACCAAGAAGAACCCTAGAAAGAAAGATCATGATGGACCATCCATCTGCAGGCAAACCAGGGCACCCTGCTGCCCCCACTGGGCTGTGCGTCTTGGCAGCCAGGCCCTTGCTGGGCTGAAGGTAAACTCACCCTCGCTGCCTACCTGCCCCCAGGAACAAGGATCTCGGCTGTGCAGAGACTCAGCCTCCAGGCCCAGATCTCTACCTCCAGGCCTAGATCTACACAACAGGCCCAGATCTCCACTCCAGGTCCGTATCTCCACTCCAGACCCATATCTCCTCTCCAGGCTGATAAGTCCACTCCAGGCCCATATCTCCACTCCAGGCTCCTATCTCAACTCCAGGCTCATATATCCACTCCAGGCTCATATCTCCACTCCAGGCCCATATTTCCACTCCAGGCTTCTATCTCCTCTCCAGGCCCATATCTCCTTTCCAGGCTTGTATGTCTGCTCCAGGCCCGTATCTCCACCCCAGGCCCATATCTCCACTCCAGGATCATATCTCCACTCCAGGCCCAGATCTCCACTTCATGCCCTTAACTCCACCTCCGGGCCCATAACTCCACCTCTAGGCCCATATCTCCACTCCAGGCCCATATCTCCACTTCAGGCCCATATCTCTACTGCAGGCCCATAACTCCACCTCCAGGCCCATATCTCCACTCCAGGCCCATCGCTCCACTTCTAGGCCCATCACTCCACCTCTAGGCCCACATCTCCCCTCCAGGCCCATCCATATCTCCCCTCCAGGCCCATATCTCCACCCCAGGCACATATCTCCACCCCAGGCCCATATCTCCACTCCAGGCCCAGATCTCCACTCCAGGCACATATCTCCACCCCAGGCCCCTATCTCCACTCCAGGCCCAGATCTCCACTCCAGGCCCAGATCTCCACTTCAGGCCCATAACTCCACCTCCAGGCCCATAACTCCACCTCTAGGCCCATATCTTTACCTCCAGGTCCAGATCTCCATCCCCGCACTCCCTCCCTCGATTCCCTTCCAGGACTCACCAACACACGCCATGCTGACGACCATGAGCAACATGGTGCTGCCGGTGCAGACAGGCGGCCGCGCCCCAGCTCAGCTCAGCAGCGCACAGGATGTTATTTGGCGCCCTGCCCATGCAGTTTACATGTTGACCACATCATGGGAGGGTGACGTACGCAGGCTCTTTCTACCTTGCATGAGGCCCAGTGGGTGCTCGCTCAAGAGCGGAACATGGCTTCCTGGAAATTGCTCTCACTAGAATTGACACCTCGCGTCCTTCACTATGACCAACTCAAAACACGTCTTAGATCCAACCTCCCGAACACGAGATGCCTAAAATCTGTGCTAACATGAAAGACTTTTCATGTATTTTTTTTGCTTTTATCTGAGATTCAAACTCTTCTTCCTGTGTAATATGCAAAATATCTAATAGGTATTATTAAGGTTTTCAGAGCAATTGTGACTAATAAACCATTAGAATTTTTCATGATTGTATTTCTAGTATTACAGCAGAACCAGTTCAAATGATTTAAACTCCCAGGGAAGGATTATGCAATTATTTACAATCTTAGAATTGTACTTTATCAGCAAAAATCACAACATGTAAATTCTGGATTTTTGTAGATTTATCTAGAATTTGTCTCATGTCCCAAGATTCCAGAGTTCCAACTCATGGTTTGCTCTCTCTCTGTCTCTCTGCCTCCCTCATTTTAAATTTTACAGAAATATCCAGTAACATAATGCTATAGAAAATCAATTTCCCCAGCACTTTGGAAGCCGAAGTGAGTGATCAACCGAGGTCAGGAGTTTGAGACCAGCCTGGCCAATATAGTGAAACCATGTCTCTGCTAAAAATACAAAAATTAGCCATGCCTGGTAGCAGGCACTTGTAATGCCAGCTATTCAAGAGGCTGAGCCACGGAATCCCTTGAACCTGGGAGGCGGAAGTTGCAGTGAGCCGAGATCGTGCCACTGCACTCCAGCCTGGGCAACAGAGCGAGACTCTGCCTCAAGAAAAATAAAAAAAGCATAGCAAATAGCCTATAATAAATAACTAGAGGACTCCAGCTACCAAATTTTAGGGGTTGTATAAGGCTGCATAAAATGCAGCATTCTCAAGAGAGTGGACAGAGAGAGAGCCACTGAGCAGAAAACAGTGTCTAAAATACATCCGTGTACACACAGTCCCTTTATAGTTGACAAAGGCTGCCATGTGGTTTAAGGTGGAATAGAATGTCTTCTCAATAAATAACATGGGCCCAAGGGTTACACATGGAGAAAAATATATCTAAAAGTATTCTCACACTATAAAACACTTGTTTATTTTATCTTGTTATTGTAATTTTTTTATGTTTTATATTTAAAATTGAGAAATAAAAATTATATACAGTCATCCCTCACTATTCGTGGGTGATTGGTTTCAGGATCTCCACTCAGATAGCACAATCTGCAGATGCTCAAGCCTCTTACATGAAATGGCACAGCATTTGCAAATAACCCATGCACATCCTCCTGTGTACATGAAATCATCCCTTGATTATTTATAATTCCTGATACAGCCTACACACAGCTTCATTTGTGTCCATTCAACATAGTTTTGCTTTTTGAAACTTTGTGGATTTTTTCTCTGAATATTTTTGATTTATATTTGGTTCAATAAACACCTGTAAATCCCACAGATACAGAGGACCGACTGTATATTTATAGTATGAAAGATGATGTGTTGATATGTGTCCCCGTGGAGATGAGACTGACAAGGCCTATGACTCTACAAATGTTTCATCATGGAATGACTCTGCCAGCTTTCCAGGTCTGCAGAGAGTAAGAATATCACTTGTTCATGTGATTCACGATCCTTGGAACCTCTTATGTGCTGCATCTTTGGATGGAAATTGGAGTCTCAGAGACAAATCAGGCTCCACCCTGCTTCCAGAAGCTCAGAGTCCAGGGGTGAGAACCCAGTGGAGAACAGTTGGAGTTATTTGGACATGGTAATGATAACACTGGAAACTTTCAGCCAAAAAAAGAGTCACCTAAAGAATGAAGGCAGACATGTTTATTTGAAGAGGAGAGAACTACACTGAAATCAAAAAAATTTTATAAGGTTTGCTGATGCCAGAAGGCTGAAAAATAGTCTGAGGAAAGGTGGAACAGCACGAGGGAAGGTGGAACAGCACGTGTCTAAGTGCCGTGTTAATAGAGAGCCTCTTGTATGTTTGGAATTGTGAGTTCCTCAGTGTGATTGCAGCCTCAAGTAGACTAGGAAGTAAGCCAGTTAGGTTGGAGAGGTGGGCAGGGGTCAAGTGAAATAGAGAATTGTGGGCTAAGCAAAGGAGTGTGTTTTCTCTGCAGCAGGCAGTGGGGACCTTAGACATTGGTAAGCAAGAGACAGGCACCAGATTTGTGGTGTGAGGAAGAGTGATGCTCTAAGATGGAGACTCACGCCTTCAGATTCCAGCTGCTGGTACATTAGAGCTGGCAAGCTGGGTTTGAGACAGGGCTGTTGTCTCCCTAGAAGATCCCATCAAGGCCTGACTGTGGTGCTCATGGGCAGGAGATAACGCTCTGGGCTCAGCATTTGGAAGTTCTATACACACGCTGGTATCTGTTGAGGGTCTCTTGCTCCTCTGAGAAGGGCCAGTGATTTTTCTCTGTGTGAAAATGCAGTGATCCAACTGTGCGTATGTCACCTCCTGAGGGTCTTGTTCATCAGAGTCCTGGAGAGAGGGAAATCCTGAGTGAGGGAGGGTGTTCACATTTTTCAGGACTATTAGGGAATAAGACTGTATCCATGAGGCTGGGCTAGGAGGACCTACCTCCCTGTTCACTGTTCTGTGTCCCGCAGGCTCTTGGTTCATTACAGCAGCATCTGTAGGAGACGGAAGCAATCAAAACAGCTGGGAGGGCACTTCTGGGTCCTCATTTCATGAACAGATACCAACACACAGGGGGAGGCCATAGGTGCCTGAGGTCCCTCAGCTGCCAACAGCCAGACTCAGACATTCCATCTCTCTGAGTGCAAGACCCCATTCCATGAATAGCTGTCAGTTCCCATCCCATTGATTCTATCTCCCACTTTCTGCCTGTCATGGAATCTTCTCCTGGATGTGAGTGGCTGCAGGGGACGTGAGGATACAGTTCACAATCAGGCAATGGTCTGTGAGCTGAAGGCAGGGGCAGGGTGTCTGGTGCTCTCTCTAGAAAGCTCTGCCTCTGGCTCCTGCCTTGGGCCAGAGACTTTCCTGCCAGTGAGGAACACACACCTGCGTGCTCCCATCCTGCTTCCGCACAGGGCCCTGAGTTCTCTGGCCTCTGCTTCGTGAGGCTTACTTTTTTTTTTGGAGCACCAGCGATGAAGGAGAAAGAAGGGAAGGATGGTGAAGAGGATGATGGCCACTGAGTACCTAATCACAGCATGCAGGTGTCTGGCGATACCTGGAGGAAGATGAGAATCCAATAAGAAGCTAACCATAGCAGTTCCTCTTTGTGGATTGTCTCTCATTTCTTGGTTGCCAGGCAACCACATAAAACACCTCTTTAGGACAAGCACCCACGAGGCGGGAGACCCAGCTTTCTCCTGCTTTCTCCGTTATAGTTTTCATAATAACAATAGAATGTGCTGATGATACAACTGCTATTGTTTCAATGTTTGACCCCTCCAAACCCCACTTTGAAATTTAATCCCCAGTGTGGGAGGTTGTGCCTATTGGGAGGGGTGTTTTGGTCATGGGGGTGGATCCATCATGAATAGATTAATGCTGTCCCCAGAGGACGGGTTTAGCAAGTTCTCCCTCTATTAGTACCCTGGAGAGTTGATTCTTAAAAAGAGCTTGGAAGCTCCATCACACCCCCTTTCTCCCTCTCTTGCCATGTGATCTCTGTGGTCTCTGCACACGCAGGACCCCCTTCTCTTCTGTCAGTGTGGGAGCAGCCTGAGGCCGCAGCCAGAAATAGATGGTAGTGTCCTGCTTCTAGTACAGCGTGCCGATCAGTGAGCCAAACACATCTCTTTTCTTTAGAAGATACCCAGGCTCAAGTGTTCTTTTATAGCAACAAAAATAGGCTAAGACAGCAACATCCTGAGATCAGGAGGAACGTCTCAGAACAGCCTGGGCTGTCTTCCTGTTCTTCCTGGAGGAGAACATCATGCAGTGCTTTAGCTGAGTGTTCCCTGTGGCTCCAGGGTACAAAACCCAGGCTGGGCTGCTTTCTGGCTTCCCCCAGCTACAGTGCACATGAAGTGACTCCATGTGTCCTGAGCAGTTTTTCTGAGCCTTGAGGGACTGGCTCACCCTGAAAGGAAGGTTTCTGTTGTCACTCGCTGCTTATCTATAAGTAATGAACCTGCCTATGTAATGTATTCCCTGTGTGTTCTGTCTCCCTGGAGTGATGGTGAGTGATAGAAATTGGCACAGGCCCAGGTGCAGTATGGGAGGTGTTTAGAGTCTTCTCTGGGAAGACTGGACTGGGATTGATACACAGTGAATGTGCTTTACAGTTTCTACATCCACAACCCTCTTGACTCAAACAAATTACATTCTCCAAGAAAAGGAAAAAACAGTGACATTGAAATCAACATAAGTGAGGTTGAGCTGTCTTATATCAAACAGCCAGGAAATAATGATGAAGCTCGTGGGCAACATGCTACTTTTGTCATCTTGGGAGTCAGATATTAGGCTGCTGTTCCACCCGAGAGTCTGGGGGAAAGACCACCCCCTCCATCATCTGTTGCTTCAATACAGCCTGTCTTTCTGTGAATTACTCCAAAAGGTGACCAGGAGATAGTGCTGGCACTGGTCTCTGAGTCTACGATCTGAACTCCAAAGAATATTAGTTTTTACCTCCCCATGATCTATCTGTATCATTAATGTGATTGGAAGTAGGGGTGAGGTGGGGGATTTGGGTGAAGGGGCAAGTTTTGTGCCATGAACAGATCACGTTCTCTATTCCAGGACCTGTGCTGGTGGGTTTCACATTTTCCATATGATCTCATGCTCACAGAAAGCCAAATAAGGAAGATGTTTTCGCCTGATTTTCTTATGGATAGGATAAAGGATCAAAGAAGTCATTATAGAGAAATAGAAAAATGATGATTGGAATTGGTGTGCCTTTGTCATTCGTGTATGTTATATTATATTTATGTATTCTTTATTTTTATTTTTTGCCATGGAGTCTCACTCTGTCACCTAGGGTGCAGTGCAATGACGCGATCTTGGCTCACTGTAACCTCTCCCTCCCTGGTTGAAGCCATTCTCCTTCTTCAACTTCCTGAATAGCTGGTATTACAGGCACGCGCCACCACCCCCAGCTAGTTTTTGTATATTTTGTAGAGATGGGGTTTCACCATGTTGTCCAGGCTGATCTCGAACTCCTGATCTCACTTGATCCAGCCTCCTCAGCCTCCCAAAATGTTGGGTTACAGGTGTGAGCCACCGTTCAGAACCTTGTGTGTTATATTATAATAGGTCTCTTCCTTTGCACCACCCCTCATGTATCTCTCACTCCTCTGCCAAGTATTGATTTACATGTAGGAAAAATAAATCTCAGAAAGAAATCAATGAAGTGAAGATTAAACAATTAGGAAAAATCAAACCAGGCAAGCCCTCCCTGCAAATTACTCTACCTCACAAACACATCTTGTGTCCATCTTTCATTCATTTAGTGTCTAAATCAGCACCACATTTCACCAGGGGGGCGGGAATTGCCTTTTCCACAGTCTCCTAGATTCCAGTTATGCACCTGGGCCTCCCTTATTTTCATGTCAGTCACTATTCATCATGTAGGGATTCCCAGTTAGCCCCGAGGTAAGTCCAATGGCTGTGAGTATCAAACACACGCTCCTTGTTCCTCCTTAGTTTCCTGTGTACCCAGAGTGCTCTCTGTCTCTCCACAGTCGTCTTGTCATTCTCCCCATGTCATTCCCAGCATTTCAGGCAGAGCCTCTTCCTTCCACATAACATTGTTTTCACCTTTGTGCCTTCACGGCTGACAGCTGTGTGGAAAATCCTTCCGCCAATCTTCCAGGGGTTGATCTATTTTTTTCATTAAGGTCACAAGTATTATTTGATCAGTGAGAACTTCTCTGTCACCCGAAATTATACACTCAGCATTATCTATTATTTCTTTTAAAATACGGCTCGGCGCCTTGGCTCACGCCTCTAATCTCAGCACTTTGGGAGGCTGAGACGGGCGGATCCCTTAAGGTTGGGAGTTTGAGATAGCCTGGGCAACATGGTAAAACCTTGTCTGTACTAAAAAAAAATACCAAAAAAAAATTAGCCAGGCGTGGTGGGACATGGGTGTAATCCCAGCCTCTCGGGAAGCTGAGTGTAGAGAATCGCTTTAACCTGGGAGGTGGAGGTTGCGGTGAGCCGAGATCCCGCCACTGCACTCCAGCCTGGGGCACAGAGGGAGACACCGTCTCATAAAAACAACCAATCAATCAATCATTCTCATGCACAGATGCTTCCCAATGGATCATTCATTTATTGGTCCACTGGTGTATTCATTTTCTGCCCTCCCATTTAATCCTTTGCAATATCAGTGTCCAAGAGCAGAGGCCAAATGCACCTTGTTTACCATTTGTGGAAAGGATAAGAATGCCGCCCCACCCCAAAATGTTCCTGTCCTAGTCGCCATATCTTGTGAATATGTTATTTTACATGGAAAAAAGGAATGCAGATTGCAGATGGAATTACGGTTGCTAATCAGCTAACCTTAAAAGGAGGGTATCCTAGATGATTTTAGGGAAATTATGATGGATTATCTTGGTGTTTCCAATAGAATGCCAAAGTCCTTAAAAGATGAGGAAGAAGGCAGAGCAGCATTCAGAGAAAGAGGTGTGGACAAGGAAGAAGGGTCTGAGTGATGCCGTGTGAGAGGCGTGACCAGCCTTTGTGGACTTTGAGGGAGGAAGACGGGGACCAGGAGCCAAGGAATGTGGGAGCCTCTAGGAGCTGGGAAAAGTGAGGAAGCAGATTCTTGCCTGGAACATTCAGAGGGAAGGCAGCCTTGCTGTCACCTTGATTTTAGCCCAGTGAGATGATGCATTTCATACTTCTGAGCTACAGCACCATGAGATATTTTTTAAAAATGTGGTTTCCATCCACGAAGCTTGTGGAAATTTGTTATGGCAACATAGGAAAAAGTTCCACACTGCACAGTCTGAGCATGGGGCAGTGGCTGAACGAGTAAGTGGAAGTGTCATGTGCACGGATGAACTACGTTCTCTCTTACCGCAAAGCTCTTGTTCCACTAAGTCAACCAGGGTTGGATCATGACAGACAGGAGCTCATTCCTTGGCAAGTAGAACTTCTCTACAAACACACCACCCTCAAAAATGTTCCCCTTCCTTCCCCTTCTCAAGCCCCCAGGCATTTGTCCTCCCAGTTAGGAATGCAGGCAGAACAAACACAGCATTTTTCCTGAGAAGAATGTCTGATTTGCACTCATCCTTCTACCCTGAGGTCTCAGCAGCAGAAAATTAGAGATTAAGAGATTTCACTGAGCCCTGTGCTGGGCCCAGATCCCTTTCGCTGTTGGAGTGTCTGGGGTTCAGAGACAATGGAAGACAGGCCCACAATCACAGAGCTGGCAGGTGCTGAGCCAACGCTTGAATCCAAGGCTTCTACCTCCCCAGGTTTCCAAAAGCAGAGATAAGAGGGGTCCTTCACTTACCAGTTTTGAAGCTTGGTTCAGTGGGTGAAGGCCAACTACTAGAAGGGTTTCCTAGAACATGGGACAGGAGAGAGGTGTGGCAATGAGGATGCCTGTCTTTTCTACTCAATGGAAATCTTTGAGGTTGGTTCATGGCCAACCTTCTATTATCTAATGTTGGGCCCTGGGAGTCCTGGCATCCCATTCTCCATAATCATTGTAGGTGACACCAACTATCTTGAGACTTCAAGGTATAAGGAGAAAACAGGAGCATCACACTACCTGACTTAAAAATATGTTACAGAGCTGTAGTAAGCAAAACAACATGACATTGGCATAAAGAAAAGCACATAAAACAATGAAGCAGAATGAAGAACACGGATGTAATCCACCCATTTACATCCAATGGACTTTGACAAAGGTTCGAAGAATCTACAATCTGGAAAGGACAGTCATTTCAATAAATGGTGCAGGGAAAACTGGATATCTACATGCAGAGGGATGAAACTGCACCTCTACCTCTCACCATACACAAAAATCAGATGAAAATGGATTAATGACTTAAGACCTGAATCCATTAAATGTCTAAAAGGAAACACTGGAGAAATGCTCCAGGACATTTGTCTGAGGGAAGACATTTTGTTTAAAACCTCAAAAACACAAGTAATCACAACAACAACAAAAAAAATAGACCATTGGGATTATATCAAATCAAGCAGCTTCTGCACCGCAAAGGAAGCAACCAATGAAGTGAAGAAGAGAAAACCCACAGAATGGGAGCAAATATTTGCAAACTATGCATCTGAGATGGGATTAATAACTAGAATATAAAAGAAGCTCAAACACCTCAATAAAACTAATAATTTAATTATAAAATTAGTAAAAGACCTGAACAGACATTTCTCAATGAACAAAACATACAAATGAACATATATACATTGCATATATGAAAAAGTGCTCAGTATCACTAATCATCAGAGAAATGCAAATGAAGTCACAATGAGCTATCATCTCACCCCATTACAATGGGTTTTATCTCAGAGACAGACAAAACAAATGTTGGCAAGGTGGTGGAGAAAGGAGAACCCTGATACACTGTTGATAGGAATGTAAATTAATACAGCCATTACAGAGGAGAAGAATATGGAAGTTCCTTAAAAACTGAAAAGAGATTAGGCACTGTGGCTCACGCTTGTAATCCCAGCACCTTGGGAGGCTGAAGTGGGCAGATCACTGGAGGTCAAGAGTTCGAGACCAGCCTGGCTAACATGGTGAAACCCCGTCTCTACTAAAAATACAAAAATCAGCCAGGCTTGGTGGCGGGCACCAGTAATCCCAACTACTCGGGAGGCTGAGGCTGGAGAATCACTTGAATCCTGGAGGTAGAGGTTGCAGTGAGCCCAGGTGGTGCCATTGCACTCCAGCTTGGGCAACAAGAGTGAAACGCTATGTCAAAAAAACAAAAAGCATAAAACAAAACCTAAAAAGAGAACATCCAGAGGATCTAGCAATTCCACTAGTGGGTGTAAATGCAAAGAAAAGGACTTCAGTGTATTGAAGTGACATCTGCACTCCCATGACTGTTCCAGCACTGTTCACAGTAGCCAAGATGTGGAGTCAACCTACCTGCCCATCAGTGGATGAATGGATAGAGAGAATGTAGTACATACACACAATGGAGACAACTCATCCATAGAAAGAGTAACGTCCTGTCATTTGCAGCCACATGGATGGACTAGAGGTCATTACAAGGATTGCCATTTCTTACTCACATGCAGGATGTAAAAGGTGGACCTCATGAAGGTAGAGAGTAGAATGGTGGATACCAGAGGTTAGGAAGGAAGGGGTGGAGGGTAACAAAAGAAGAATATAAAAGTATTTATTTATTTATTTATTTAGAGACAGAGTCTCTCTGTGTCACCAGGCTGCAGTGCAGTGGCATGATCTCAGCTCACTGCAACCTCCTCCTCCTGGGTTTAAGCCACTCTCCCGCCTCAGCCTCCCAAGTTGCTGGGATTATAGGCGCCTGGCACCATGCCTGGCTAATTTTATTTTTTTTGTCTTTTTAGTAAAGATTGGTTCCCCCATGTTGGCCGGGCTGGTCTCCAGCCCCTGATTTTAAATGATCCACCTGCCTTGGCGTCTCAAAATGCTGAGATTACAGGCGTGAGCCACCGCACACAGCATATAAAGGTATTTATGATCCCTAGATTTTACACTTAAAAATGGTAAAGTTGATAAATTATATAGGTATATTTAACCTCAATCAGCATTTTTTCAAAGGAAAAGAAAAAGTGTAGGGGTTGCTGGTGATGACATCTCTGTGTAGGTGAGAGGCCAGGGTGGGCTTCTGGGAAATGGGTAAGGTTGAGGGGCTGAGGGAACCTCTGATCTCCCCAAACTGAGCCCAGTCTCCCTCCTCTGGGTCTGTCCTGACCACTTTCTCCATCTGCCTGGGTACCCGGAGCCCTTACTGCAAGCTTCCATGCAGGCCATGCAGGAGGGTTTGGAGGTGCCCTGTCTGCCATCCTGTGCCCTGATCCCACCCTCACACCATGCTGCATCTTCTCTCCACATCTGTCCATGCTTCTCTCCATCATCAGCAGGAAGCTCCTCAGCTAAGGCTCTAGGACCATAGGACATGGGACAGACATTGGCTTTCCTCACCTGTGACAGAAACAGGCAGTGGGTCACTCGCGTCTGACCACTCGTAGGGAGATCCATGGAAAGAGCCGAAGCATCTGTAGGTCTCTCCGTGGGTGGCAGGACCCAGAGGGAAGTCGGCCTGGAATGTTCCATTGATGCTGGGCACTGCAGGGAGCCTAAGTTCATGGGCTTCCCCCTCCCTGGATAGATGGTAGATGTCAAAGGAGCTCTGGGAGCTGCAGGACAAGGTCACGTTCTCTCCTGTGCGAACCGTGGGGCCCGGCCGGGCTGTAAGCGAAGGTTTCTCATATAGACCTGGAAGGAGAAGAGGCAGTTTCCTCAGGGAGGTTCTTCCTTGTCACAGCTCCCCTCCCACCTGAGCTGAGAACTCACTGCCCTGCTCTATGGCCTAGTGCTCTCTCTCTCTCTCTCACCCTCCACCCCCAACTCTTCCTGTCGATCCCTCCCTATGTGGTTCCAGCCTGGTGGTGGCATCAGCAGTGCACCCTTGCTGATCTCAGGGTAGCCAACCTTCTTGTTTGGTTTTTTAACTTGTCCTTCACCTGGGTTCCTGTGTTGGTTTCCTGTTGTTGCTGGAGAAAATTATCACAAACATGGCGACAGGAGAGAACACACTGACCCCTTCCACTTCTGGAGACAGAAATCAGACCCTGTTCTTCCTGGGCTACAATCAATGCATCTGCAGGGCTGCATTCCCTCTGGAGACTCGGGAGAATCAGTTCCATTGATTTCTCCAGCCCCTTCGTGGCTCGTGGTCTTCCTCCACCTTCAAAGCCCACAGTGGCTGGTGGAGTATCCCACGATGCTGCTCTAATCCCCATTCTCCTCTTCCTTCTCCACTCATATGGACCCTTGTGATTACACTGAGCCCAGTGGGAGAGTCCAGGCCATCTCCCCATCTCAAGGTCAACTCATCAACAACCTGAGCTCCATCTTCCCCTTCAGTCCCCTGCCCTATAACATAGTCACAGGCTCCAAGGATTACAATGTGGCCATCGATGGGGACAGTTATTCTTTCCAACACAGCACCCATTCCCCTGTATTCAATCCCCCTTTACCCCAAATATAGTTGGGGCCTGGATGATCGGACTCTGGTGGACACCCCCACCAGAAGCTCTGGGACTCAGGAGGTGGGACAAGGAGAAGCCCAGACAGGAGCCCTCTGACCTGTGACCATGATCACCAGGGGGTTGCTGGGTGCCGACCACTCAGTGGGGGAGTGCGGGTGAAAACCTCGACATCTGTAGGTCCCTGCGTGTGCTGGGGTCACAGGGCTAATGAGGAAACTGTTCCAGAATATTCTGTTGTAGAGCTCAGGGACAGGGACCCCATCTTTCTTGTACAGCGTGAAGATGTTAAACCCACGACGATAGTGACACCGAAGAGTCACGTGTCCTCCTTGAGGCACCACAGCGCTGGGCCAGGCAGAGCAGAAGGGCTTGTCCTGACCACCTTGGGGAGAAGGAGATGCCGCCTCAGAGAGGAGTATGTTGAGCTGCCCCTCCCTCCCTGTGCTCAGAAGATTCTCCCCATTTCTTCTTTCTAAGGCTCCTACCACACCTGGGTGCCTGGGGCTACAGGAAGGACCCATCCCGCATAGACGTGGCGTCTCCCTACAACAAAAGTGTCAGTTGAGAACTGAGCAGGTGCTGAGTAAGGGACTCTTACTAGATTTTAATACTGCAAGATTAGTTACACCAAACAACACAAAGTAGACATGGGGTGGAGGGTATGACCTTTGTGAATGGAATATTAGCTAATGCCTGAACCACAATAAACAACTGAGCTCCATCAGAGGATTTGGAATGGCAGGGTCGTGGCTGTGGTTCCCCCACCTCTTCTGGCAGAATGACAGCAGCCACACTGCAGCCCCTACCGTCATGGAAACGCTGGAGGGTGTGAGTTACCCTCTTGTCCTCAGAGGACCTGCTGTTCCTAACACTGCTACCCTTCCCTCCTCTGTCGGTGACACCACATCCCCCCACACACCCCAGCTTTGAGCACCTCAGTATCCCGCCTGGGCCACACAGAGCTCAACTCAGCCATGGGGAAGAAAGGCTGGGGAGGGCTAAGACAAAACAGAGGGCTGAGCATACCAGGATCTCCTCTTACTAGTTCATGAGAGACTCCCAGGATCTCCTCTTACTAGTTCATGAGAGACTCCCAGGATCTCCTCTTACTAGTTCATGAGAGACTCCCAGGATCTCCTCTTACTAGTTCATGAGAGACTCCCCCCAGGCCTTCCCATGGTCAGCCCATCAGCCCACCCTCTGTGCTGCCTCCCTCCCATTTCCGGAAAATTCACTTGTATTGGGGTGAAGATGGCAACCCATCATTTGGGGAAGGACTCACCCACGTGTGCCCACACACTCTGGTCCAAGAAGAACCCTGCAAAGAAAGATCATGATGAACTATTCATCTCGGCACCAACCTACCCTTTCCTCCTGAGCCACTGGGCGCCACGCTGGACTGAAAATTAACTCATCCTCACCACTCACTTGCTTCAGAACATGGCTCTCTGCTGGGGAGACACCCAATCTGCAGGCCCATAGTGTAACCCTGGTGCTCCTTCCCTTCCAGGACTCACCAAGACATGCCAGGATGATGACCGTGGGTGACATGGACATGGTGCAGCTTCTGCTGCCAGGACGCAGTGACTCGGCTCGACTGACCGGTGCAGAGGATGTGGTGAGGGGCCCGGATCGTGCAGTTGACACATTGACCACAACATGTGAAGGGGACATAGGTAGGCTTCTTCTACGTCATATGAGGTTCAAGTGGTGAGTCAGTCAAGGGAGGAATGAGGGTTTCTGAAAACTGCAGACTAGACTTGTCAGTTCACATCATGCGCAACGGCCAGGCTCAAAACACATCTCAGACTCACTTACCCCTGCACGGGACGATTGAATTCTGCACTCACATGAGGAACTTTTGATGTATTTTTTTTTGTTTCTACCTGAGATTCAAACTCTCCTTGATATGTAATATGCAAAATACCTAATAGGTTTTATTAACACTATAGAGCAATCGTATTAAATAAATCATCATAATTTTCCATGGTTGTATTTTTCCTGTTAAGCCAGAAACAGATAAAATGATTTAAATCCCAGTAGAAAAGACTATATAGTTATTTCGCATCATAGAATTCCACCTTATTAGCAAAAACACAATATGTCAATTGAAGGTCTGGTCGTGTTATCTAGAATTTGTCTTATGACACAAGAGTCCAAATTCACAGTTCCCTGTCTCCCTTTTTGTCTCTCTGTAACGTGTGCTTTTTTTCTCCCTGTGTTGTTTGTGTGTCTTTCTTTCTCTCTCTCATTTGAGGAAAAAATATCAGACTGATAACATCCTCCAACTTGATACTGGAATATTGCAATAACTGAAGGTTGAAATCTACACATTTAATGTGCTGTCATTCTTACAAATGTCTCTTATTTACACCTACCTTTCTGGAGTTTGTAAGAACTTTTTCACTATGCATTTTAAATTTGTAAAACTCATAATTTTTAAAAAGGGATGGGTCTCACTGTTTGCCCAGGGTGGCCTTTACTCATTCTATAAGGCTGGCATCACCCTGATACTAAAGACAGAAAAGAATATTAAACAAAAGAAAACTACATGCCAATATTCCTGATGAGCATAGATGCAAAAATCCACAAAAAATACTAAGAACTGAATCCCGCAGCATATCAAAAAGTGAATCCACCATGATCAAGTCAACTTTATTCTTAGGGTGCAAGGTTGGTTGAACATACACAATCAATACATGTGATTCATCACCTAAACAAAACTAAAAACAAAAACCACATGATCTTCTCAACACACATGTAGAACATACTTTTTACTAAGCATTTCTTCATGTTAAAAGCCCTCAACAAGCTAAGCATTGAAGAAACATAACTCAATATAATAAGAGCCGCCTATGACAAACCCACAACCAACATCATACTGAATGAGTAAAAGCTGGAAGAAGTTCCCTTCATAAGTGAAACAAGACAAGAATGCCCACTCTCACCATCCTATTCAACATAGTACTTGAAGTCCTAGACAGAGCCATCAGGAAAGAGAAAGAATTATAAGGCATCCAAGTAAGAAGAGAGTAGCAGAGAGAGGTAGTCAAATTACCTCTGTTTGAAGATGAGATAATTTCTATACCTAGAAACCCCATAGTCTCTGCCCAAAGGCTCCTACATCTGAGAAACAAACTTCAGCACAGTTTAAGGGCAGAAAGTCAATGTACAGGCTGGGTGTGGTGTCTCAGCCTGAAATCTAGCACTTTGGGAGGGCGAAGCGGGTGGATCACCTGAGGTCTGGAGTTCGAGACCAGCCTGGCCAACATGGCGAAACCCTGTCTCTACTAGAAACACAAATATAGCCGGACGGGGTGGTACGCAACTGTAGTCCCAGCTGCTTGGGAGGCTGAGTCAGGAGAACCGCTTGAACCTGGGAGGCAGAGGTTGCAGTGAGCGGAGATCACGCCATTGCACCTCAGCTTGGGCAACAACAGTGAAACTGCGTCTCAAAAAAAAAGCCAAAACAAATTTAATTAATGAGGAAAAGGGTATTTGTGGTGTCCATCATGATGTTTTCATATAGGTACACATTGTGGAATGGATGAAACAACCTCTTTATCTATTTATTTTTTCACATACTTGTATGTTTTGTGTGTGTGGTGAGAACATGTAAAATCTAATCTCTTAGTAATGTTCAATACACCATATGTTGCTATTAAATGGAGTCACCAAGACATACAATAGATCTCTTGAACCGATTTCTTCTAACTGAAATTTTGCATCCTTTGACCAACATCTCTTCAATCTCTCTCCTTCCCAGGTTCTTTCGACGACCATTTTACTGTTCCTCTAGGTTCCACTTCTTACACTCCACACATGAGATCATGTGGCATTTGTCTTTCTGTGCCTGGATTGTTTCCCTTAACATAATGTCCTCTAAGTTTTTTCACATTGTCACAAATGAGAGGACTTCCTTCTTTGTTGTAAAGGTTGTATAGTACTTCATTACGTTCCTATCGTATACCACGTTTTCTTTGTCCATGCACCCATAGATGGGCAGTAAGGGTGATTCCACATCTTGGCTGTTATGAATAATGCGGCTGTAAACATGGGAATGCAGATATCTCTTCAACATACTGATTCCACTTCCTTTGGATACATGCGCAGTAGTTGGATTGCAGACACATATGGGAATTCTATGTTTAATTTTTTCAGGAACTTCCAGACTGTTTTCCATAATGGTTGTGCTAATTTACATTCCCATCAACTGCATACAAATGTTCCCTTTTCTCCACATCCTCGTTAATGCTTGTTATTTTTTATGTTTTTGATAATGGTCTTTTTTTTTTTTTTTTTGAGACTCAGTCTTGCTCTGTCACCCAGGCTGGAGTGCAGTGGCACAATCTCGGTGTACTGCAACCTCTGCCTCCTGGGTTCAAGCGATTCCCCTGCCTCAGTCTCCAGAGTAGCTGGGACTACAAGTGTGCGCCACCAAACTCTGCTAATTTTTGTATTTTTAGTAGGGATGGGATTTCACCATATTGGCCAGGCTGGTTTCGAACTGCTGACCTCAGGTAATCTCCCTGCCTCGGCCTCCCAAAGTGCCTGAATTACAGGCATGAGCCACCATGCCCAGACTGTTAATGGTCATTCTAAGAGGTGTGAGGTGATATCTCATTCTAGTTTTAATTTTTATTTAGCTGATGTTTAGTAATGCTAATCATTTTTTCATATACCTTTTGGTGATTTGTCTTATTCTTAGAAATGTTTATTCAGATACTTTGCCCATTTTTTTAAGTTGGGTTATTTGATTTCTTACCATTGAGTTGTTTGAGTTTCTTATATATTTTGGATATTAATTCCTTATTAGATGTATGGGTGCAAATATATTCTCCCATTCCATAGGTTGTCTTTCCACTTGTTGAGTTTTTTTTTTTCTTTGCAGAAACTTTCAATTTGATATAATGTTATTTGTCTACTTTTGCTTTTGTTGCCTGGGCCTTTGGGTTAATATCCAAAATGGTTTTGCCCAAGCCAGTGGAGTTTTCCCTTGATTTCTTTTAGTAGTTTTTTTTTTTTTTAAGATGGAGTCTCACTCTGTTGCCCCGGCTGGAGTGCAGTGATGCGATCTCGGCTCACTGCAACCTCTACCTCCTGGGTTCAAGTGATTCTCCTGTCTCAACCTCCCGAGTAGCTGAGATTACAGGCACCCACAACCACACCCAGCTGTTTTTGTATTTTTAGTAGAGGCGGGATTTCACCATGTTGGCCATGCTGGTCTTGGAATCCTGACCTTAGGTGATCTGCCCGCCTTGGCCTCCCAAATTGCTGGGATGATAGTCTTTCACCTTACATTTAAGTCATTAATCTATCTTGAGTTGACTTTGTATGTTTTGTGAGGCAAATGTCCACTTCCATTCTTCTGCATGTCTCCCAATCCCATTTATTAAAGAGACTGTTCCTTCTCCATTGTGTGTTCTTGATACATCCCAAAAATTGTTTGACCCTAAATGCGTGCATTTTTTTTCCTGGGCTATGAATCACTTCCATTGGTCTATGTGTCTGTTTTTATGCAAGTACTGTGTTGTTTTAATTACTGTAACTTTGTAATGTAGTTTGTGTTTAGGTAATGTGATGCTTCCAACTTTGTTCCTTTCCCTCTAGATGGCTTTGGTTATTTGAGATCTTTTGTGGTTCCACATGAATTTTAGGACTGTTTTTTCTATTTCTGTAAAAAAAAATGTCATTGGATTTTTGATAATGGTTGCATTGAATCACTTTGGATAGAATGGACATTTTAACAACATTAATCCTTCTGATCCGTGAACATGGAATATCTTTCGATTTATTTGTTTATTTCTTGAGTTTTTTCATCAATGTTTTATAGCTTTTGCATACAGATCTTTCTACTCCTTGGGTGAATTTATTCCTGCATGTTTTGTTTTCTGTAGTTATTGCAAATGGGCTTATTTTCTTGTAAACTTTTTTGGATAGTTTGTTGTTAATGTATAGAAACTTTGTTGTTGTTGTTGTTGTTGTTGTTTTGATGATACCCATCCTAAGGGGTATGAAATGGCATCTGGTGTAGTTTTAGTTAGTATTTCCCTAATGATTCGTGATGCTGAATATCTTGTCATGCGTATGTTCTTTGGAGAAATGTCTGTTTCAGTACTTTGCCCATTTTTGAATTGAGTTTATTGTGATTGAGTTTTAGGAGTTGTCTGTATATTCTGGATGTTAATCCCTTACAGGTGGTGTGGTTTGAAAACATTTTCTCCCATTCTGTGGGTTGTCTTTTTACTTTGATAATATCGTCTTAAAAGTTCTTTTTCCTTGCCATGTGAAGTAACTGATGTTGTCTTTTGAGTCACAATATTTCAAAATTTTCATAAAGTCTAACTTGTTTATTTTTTCTGTAGTAGCCTGTGCCGTTGTTGTCACATCTAAAGAATCACTGCCAAATCCGATGTTGTGAAGTTTTCCTTTGTGTTTTCTTCTAAGACTTTAATTAAATTTTATTTGTCAATATTTAGGACTGACAAAAGCTTTTTAACATTCCTGGCACCATCTCAGTTATTGATCTACTCCCAAGATGGATCATTTCAATTAAAAC
Organism: Homo sapiens; assembly: GCF_000001405.40. Classification (NCBI taxonomy): domain Eukaryota; kingdom Metazoa; phylum Chordata; class Mammalia; order Primates; family Hominidae; genus Homo; species Homo sapiens. Next base: position 70,771 of record NT_187639.1, read on the forward strand.
ATGTAAAGCATGACCTCACCTGAATGTGTTTGAACTTGCTCTTCTCCCTTTCAAATCGACTCCCTCACTTACATAGTTTGTGTTCAAATGTCAACAAATAAAACATAAAAAGAAATCAATCTTTTCATAGACCCTTTATCTAAAATAGAATAGTAGGTGCCATGACATTTCATCCTTTCATCTTGAATTATTTACTTTTCTACATGAACCAATCCATTCTTCTGTGTGCATGTGTGTGTGTGTGTGTGTGTAGTTTATCTGTCTACATATAATGTAAACACCAAAAAATAACAGACATTTAGTAATTTTCAAATGAGACTTCAGGAATTAACAATGGCTTGCCATTTTTAGTGTGTTATTATTATTATATTTAGATGAACAGAATTGCCTCAGGAACATGGCCAGGGGCTCATAGTCCAGGAGAACTGTGGCCTGACTCAGGTACATTTTACCTGCAATAACAGCAATTGCAGGTCACTGGAGTCCATCACAATTGGCTGGAGACAAATGTAAGACAAGAATATTTGCAGTTTCCCCAGACTGACACAGTTGCAGGTTCCCCGAAGTAATGAGTCCTGAGACACCTCCAACAAGAGCTAGAAAAGGTATCACTTCAAGAGGAGTTGCAGCCTACTCATTTTAGACAAATGGAGCAAAATTACAGTATCACATCTTTTCCTTTCTCCTTCATAGAATCTGGATGAACAGAACAGAAAGAGTTAATGGAATATAAGATTCCAATTCTCTGGCATGAGAAAATAGACAAGGAAAGGAAGATTCATCTTCATCACATCTCAGACATGCTTGGACACAGGGTCCAAGCACAAAAGAGAAACACATACTTCTTCCCATCCACACTGGGATCCAGGGTCTTCTCCCTCCTGTCAGGCCAGAACTGAGTCTCCACTCCCCAATTTAGTTCCCAGAGATGAAGCCCAATTTTCCTCTGTCTCAAGCTTTGAAGGCCAGCTTTAGCGTGTTCACCATGGATGAATGAAGGTGAGGTCAGAGGTTTGGGAAATGGTCAAGAATGAGGTGAGAAGAGAGCTGTGGAGGCATGGCCCCGGGGAGCTTGGTACCCCCCCATATCCAGAGCCTGTCTGGTCCAGGAGAGTTCCCAACCCTGTGAGCACCAACTCCGGATATTCTGGGCAGTGACCCGAGGGACAGCCTCTTATGAATACAGGCTGTTTTCCTCCAGTGTCTGCTGTGAAACCAGGATGTACAACATGGCCGTGTTCAACCCAACAATGGACTTAGGATTTTGCTGTACGCCAAAACTCAGTGTCCAACTTCCACTCTGTTTAGCTGGAAAAAGAAGGGGTTTGTTCCCATACATCTCACTCCTGTGTTCCTCTTTCAGTCTCAAAGCTCAGATGAAAACAATGAGTGTCACTTATTGTCAATCCTCTTCCCTGCCTTTTCCACACTCATCAGTATTACCGTTTACATTGAGACTAAAGATGGCCAATCACCACTTTTCTTCGGAAAAATCAACCTGATGTTGTACCTACTTTTTTAGAGGTGGAATCAACCTACCCTAAGATGCCAACTACATTTTACTGAATGGACTTTTGTGGATCCCCTCGATGTATATAGTGGCACCTTGAGGTATCATCCCTGTCTTTAGCAAATGAATATTATCCCAAGGACAATATTTCATCACAATTATTCGGGATGGACGAGTGGATATTGTGGTAGCAAGAACATTACTAAAAGTCACAGCTGATACAACACACTTGAAACCCATCTGGCCAATCTCCCACAGACAGAATGTCGCGCCATTCACTCCAGCCAGCTTCAGTCATGTTTCTTCCATTTCCACCTGTGGCCCCTCATGTCTCCACCAGGTCTTAGCCAGCATTGCCAAAAGAGCCAGGAAGACCAGACCAGCCACAACAATCCTGATGGAACTCTCCACAGTATAGTTCTGGAGAACAGGGGCTGGAGGGTGGGGGTAAGATCAGAGACCTTTCCATGTGGGCCAGGCCCCTCTCTCCCCAGAAGCTCTGAAATGGAGCTATTTCCCCATCTCACCTTCATAAAATTCTTCCTGTCCAGAACCCCTCTTCTCCCTATATCATCATGAGCACCTTCAGAAGTCTTTTGCCACAAAAAGAAATTTCTTTTGAAGATATACATTTTTTTGTACATTTCAAAAATGTTCCCAAACTAATTCTCCAAAGCAATAAATGTTTGTGTGTATTGCTGGGTAGGTTATGCATACAAGGAAAGGAAGCATAGTGAGTCTGATTTGGCAGAGGAAACATATGTGGAAATTATATCATTTACTCTCTTTACAAAATTAAGTACAAAATTGAAAACACTGGTAAGAAAGAATGAGCTATAGAGAAAGAAAACATCTGAGATGCTTGTTTCCAAGATGGCTGACTAAATGCTTTTCTGGCATGTCTCATCCACTTAGAAGAACGAGCAGAATCCAGAACAAAAACCATATGATCATCTCAATAGACATAAAGAAAAGCATCTGAAAAGAAATTCAACATCCTTACCTGATGAAAACCCTCAAAAACTTAGGCATAGAAAGAACATACCTCAAAATAATAAAAGCCATAGATGACATATCTAGAGTCAACATCATACTGAACAGGAAAAGTTAAAAGCACTCCTCTGAGAACTGGCACAAGACAAGGACACGGACATCCACCACTTCCTATCAACATAGTACTGGAAGCCTTGTCAGAGCTATTGGGCAACAGGAAGAATTAAAAATCCAAATTAGAAAAGAGGAAGTAAAATTATTTTTATTTCTGATGCTATGATCTTAAATCTAGAAAATCCTAAAGACCCTGCCAAAAATTCTTATGATTGATAAATGAACTAAGTAAAGTTTCAGAATACAAAATCAATATGTAAAAGCCGGTAGCATTTCTCTACACCTATAATGATCTAGCTGAGAACCAAATCAAGAAGGCAATGCCGTTTACAATAGATACGCAAAATTAAAACACTCAGGAATACATTTAACCAAGGTGGTGAAAGAGCTGTACCAGGAAAGGTGTAAGACACCAATGAAAGCAATTATAGATAATACAAAAAAAAAAAAAGAAAAAAAATCCCACGCTCATGGATCATAAGAATTAATATTGTTAAAATGACCATACTGCCTAAAGCAATCTACAGATTCAGTGCAATTCTTATATGAAAATAGTAACACCAGCTTTCACAGAATTAGAAAAAGCAATCCTAAAATTCATACAGAACCAAAAAAGATCCTAATAGAGAAAGCAATTCTAGGTGAATGTAGAAACCTGGAGGCATCACGCTATCTGACTTCAAACTATGCTCTAAGGCTATAGTAACTTAAATAGCACAGTGCTGGTATAGACACAGAAACAGAGATCAATAGACCAGAATAGAGAGCCCAGAAATACAGCCTCATATCTACAGTGAATAATCATTGACGACGTTAACAAAACATACACTGGAGAAAGATTTCCTTTTCAATAAAAGGTGCTGGGAAAACTAAATAGCCATATGCAGAAGAATAAAACTGGACCTGTATCTGTAATCATACACATAAATTAACTTAAGGTAATTAGCAGCTTAAATGTAAATCCAGAACTATAAAATCACCGGTGGAAACCCAAAGAGAAACTCTTCTGGGCATTGGTCTGGGCAAAGAATTCATCACTAAGACCTCAAAAGCACAGGCAATAAAAATAAAACTAGACCAATGGGACTTAATAAACGAAAGAGCTTCTGCCAAGCAAAGGAAATAGTAGCAGGGTGAACAGACAACCCACAGAATGAATGGAAATGTTTGCAAACTATGCACCCAACAGAGGACTAACATCCAGAATTTCTAGGCAACTCAAACAACTAAACATAACCCCTCAAATAATAGCATTAAAAAGTGGGCAAAGGGATATACATAGACATTTTTCAAAAGAAGACATACGAATGGCCAAACAGCGTATGAACATCACTAATCATCAGAGAAATGCAAATTGAAACCACAATGAGATATCATCTTACAGTAGTCAGAATGGCTATTACTAAAAATGCTGGTGGGGAGTGGTGGCTCACGCTTGTAATCCCAGCACTTTGGGAAGCTGAGGCGGGTGGATCATGAGGTCAGGAGTTTGAGACCAGCCTGACCAACATAGTGAAACCCCATCTCTACTAAATATACAAAAGATTAGCTGGGCATGGTGGTGTGGTTCTGTAATCCCAGCTACTCAGGAGGCTGAGGCAGGAGAATCATTTGAACCTGGTTGGTGGAGGTTGCAGCGCGTGGAGATGGCGGCACTGCACTCCAGCCTGGGTGACAGTGGAAGACTCCATCTCAAAAAGAAAAAAAGAAAAAGTGAAACATATAACAGGTGTTGGCAAGGATGCAGAGAAAAGGAAACTCTTATACACTGTTGGCCGGTATGTAAATTAGTATAGCCTCTATGGAAGACAGTATGGAAATTTGGCAGAGAACCAAAAATAGAAGCACCATTCGATCTAGGGGTCCCGCTGCTGGGTATCTACTCAAAAAATACCTGCACCTGTATGTTTATTGCAGCACTGTTTGCAATAGCAAAGATATGAAATCAATCTAAGTGTCTGTGAATGAATGATTGGATTAAAAAAAGGATGCGTGTATACACAACGAAATACTATTTGGTCATAAAAATAAAACCATGTCTTTTGCAGCAACATAGATGGAGCTGGACGCCATTATTTTACATAAAACCACTCAGAAAGACAAATACCACATCTTCTCACTCTACATGGGAGGGGAGTAATGTGTACATATGGACGTAGAGTGTGGAATGACGGACAGCGGAGGCTAGAAGGCTGGAGGGTGGCGGGACGTGGGTGAGTGATGAGAATTTGCTTAATGAGTACAATGTACGGTATTTGGGTGATGGATATAGTAAAAGTCCTGACTTCACTACTCTGCAACATACTCATGTCACAAAATTACAAGTGTACCTCATAAATTTATACTAATAGAAAAGAAAGTCTGTACACAGTAATCAATTGTGATATGTAGATAAAGTCAATATTAAATTTAAACCAGAATAACTAGTTAAAATGTTGTGTACACAACAGTGAAGAGAGTATTTATCCTCTATGACAGAGGAAACCATCAATATTAATGCACAGAAAAAGCAAATAACTGAAACAAGAAAGAGCAGTTTTGTGACAGGGTAAAAATTGACAACAGTTTTAGAATGCTCCTAACTTGAGTTCCAAAAAGAAAGAACGAGAAAACAGGTCAGAAGCAATCTTTAAAGAGGCAATTGTTGATTATTTGGAGGAAGTAGACACATCCATCAATCCACAGGTTCAAGAAATCCAGTGAATGCCAGGCAGAATGAAGTAAACACACCTCACGTTCAACATTACAGAAAAGCAGCATAAAAGCACAACCAACCCTTAAAATTAGCCAGAGGAAAAGGATCAGCTGGTAAGGATTTATAGGGAGCCAAGCATTGTCTTCCCCACAGAAAAAAGGAAAACATAAGCCAGTAGAATAGCATCTTTACCCAGCTAAGATACCGTCGCCAGCCACCGACAATTCCTTACATAGTACAGTTACTGTCCAAGATCAACGCAGGAAAGAAACAGAACTGAAAGACAAAAGGGCAAAGAAAGCTTTTCTCACTGACCCTAAAGGAAATTCTGATGACCGTGCCTCAAAGATAAAGAAAGTGAAACCAGATGGGGTGTCGAAGATTCTGACAATAACTAAGAGCAGAGGAAGAACTAAAAATATGGCTATGCCAAAAATGAATATGGACCATACGATAGTGTATGAAAACACGCCCCTGTGTAATTTCTGAAAAAGATAGAATTATGTATACCACAAAACAAAACATCATATAAGTAAATACAAACATATGTACTAAATATGCTCTAAAATCCTGTTCTTACACAGGAAGAGTGGAAATATGTTTTTATATTTGCAGTTTAATCTCTGAAATGATTAATTTCAATTTTAAAAATATGTAACAACTTCAGGATGAGTACACCATATATGTATTCCTAAACGACATAGATCAAAAATAGAATGTTTGAAATAGAAAACCACAGAAGTCAGTGGGAAAAAAAGGGAATCAGGAAAACACAACGTAATAATAACAAAAATATGATTGGAAGAACTGCTCAAACATGAACAAAAGATTGTCAGAAAGTCTTACTTTCTAAGGCGAATTGTTTGAAATTTACAAAGGACACATCTCAATGTTAACAATTCATGGAGTTTGAAATTAAACAATGTAGAAATATACCAAGCAATCACTGTTAGAAATGTGGTATAACTATATTAAAATTAGACAAAATTAGTCTTTGGGAAAAATCAGCGGAAAACATTAAGCATAAAATGTAGGAAAAAAGCAGGTAAATTTATAGCATTTTAAATTTACCAGGAATATATAATCAGTTTACACTTAACCACTCCCAGTAATATTCCTGCAAATATACATGGAGGAAGAGTCGCGGAAATAAATGGACAGGTAGGCAAATCCACGGCCACAGTGGGGTGTTTAACACTCCTCTTTTCTCAGTTGTTGATAGAAGTGGTTCAGGCAATTAGAGAGGATTTAGAAAGATAATTGCTGGACCTGACCCAAGGTATAAGTCCACTCCCAACCACAGGACTCACTTTCCTTACAAGCACAAGGGCATTTAGAAATCTCTCTGGATTCTGACCAGCCCTCACCATATGGCAGGTCCATGGACTTCTTGGAACACACCAAGCTCATTCTCACATTAGGGTCATCCCCAATGTCCTAAGTCCATGAAAGTTCCTTTCAACACACTCCCCAGGGCTCACTCCCTCTTGTCTCTAAGATCGGAGTTTAAATGTGATCTCTCTGATGAGGTCTCAGTGAGACGTTCCCTCCTGTACACTCCAAATGACAACGTTCCACGTTCATTCATTTCATTCTGTGCATGGCACTTTCACCAAGTGCTAAGGATTCACTCACTAATTCATACATTCATTCATTCATTCATTCACTCATTCCATCATTCACTCATTCATTCATTCTCTCATTCATTCATTCATGTTCTGCCTCTCTCTCCCACCCCACAGCAATGTGAGCATCATGAACCCAGGAGCTTGGCCGTGCTGTCTACTCCTGGCCATGAAACAGAGAGAACTGATGGTAGGTGTGAAATAAATATTAGATGAATGAGTTAGTGAAGGGGTCATTTACTGGGTGAGCTCAGTTCTCTCTACTCTAATGCCCTCCCTCGGCTGACTTCCCTGAGTTGCCCCCTCGGCTGAGTGAAGTCCCTTCACTGGCAAATGGAACCTCAACCAGTAGCACCTAGGTGGTCTCATACTTTGTTCTTTCCCTCTCCTCTTGCTCCCTAAGGATTATCAATCTCCATGACAGGGCTGGAGAGCAGACAAGCCACACATTCTTTCTGGGGAGAGAGTAACATGGAGTACAAGGCATTCCACATTTAGGAAGAGAACTCAGTTATGGAAGGTCAGAAATGAAAAGTTCCTACAGACCAACACCCAGGTTGGTGGCCACAGCCCTAAATGCTGATGGAGAATCACTGCAAGTCTGTAGGGAAGATGTCTGGCTTGAGGCCACTGAGCGAAGTGGCAGATCCTTCTCAGCCTTCAGTGCTGAGCCTCTGTCCCCTCAGGGATCCACTGACCAATGAGAAGAGCCTCTTCTCATCTCCTGGGATGGAGCTTGGGGCCCCTGGCGAAGGAATGGGCCTGTTTCCACCTGTCATGTTGTCATCTAGCTTGGAAATCCTGCGAGTCCCAGGGAGGCCCTCCCCGAGTCCCCAGAGAAGACTCCCCCACTGAGTCTCCAAGGTGTGGAGAGAGCAAAAAACATCTAGGGTGGAAAATGCCTCCCATCAAGAGACATTGGGGCTCCCCCAACGATGGTTGCATCTGTGCCCCCCATGTGGAAATCACTCTTTGGTGAGAGGTGGGGGCTTCTGGAAATGGGCAATGGCGGGCGGCCAATGCTACCTCTAGTCTTTCCAATCTGAGCCCGGCCTTTCATGCTCCTGAGTCAGCATTGATGCTGTTTACATGTGTCCCAGGTGGGCTTCTGTACAAAGACTGGGAAGTGGTTTATGTGGCCTGTGCTCTATCTGCAAGCTTCAGGTAGGGTTGCAGTTACCACCCCAAACCCTAATGTGATCTGTCTGCCTCGCTCTGTCTGTCTGTCTATGCCTCTTTCTGTATGTTTGCTTTGTGTCTCTTCTGTCCAGCATCTCTGGCTGACACCCCCATGGCCACCCCCTCCATCTGAGGCTCCCCTGAATGTGGCCATTGTAGTCCATCTGAGTCCCACTATTTGGGGAACAGACTGGTTTCCTCACCTGTGACAGAAACAAGCAGTGGGTCACTAAGGTCTGACCACTCGTAGGGAGAGTCACGGAAAGAGCCGAAGCATCTGTAGGTCCCTCCGTGGGTGGCAGGGCCCAGAGGAAAGTTGGCCTGGAAGGTTCCATTGACCTTGGGCACTGCAGGGAACCTAAGTTCATGAGCCTCCCCCTCCCTTGATAGATGGTAGATGTCATAGGAGCTCCGGGAGCTGCAGGACAAGGTCACGCTCTCTCCTGCCTTAACCATGGGGCGCGGCTGGGCTGAGAGAGAAGGTTTCCCACATAGACCTGGAAGGAGAAGAGGCAGTTTCCTCAGGGAGGTTCTTCCTTGTCACAACTCCCCTCCCACCTGAGCTGAGAACTCACTCCCCTGCTCTATGGCCTAATGCTCTCTCTCTCTGTCTCACCCTCCACACCATCTCTCTTTATGTCTATTTCCTCTTTCCACCTTCTCTGTCTCTCTAGGTCTCTGACCTCACTTTCTCACCTCTAGATATGTTTTCCCTTTTTGGATTGTTTTATTCTCTCTGACTCTCCTTGGACTAGTTGACTTGATGTTACTTTTTTTAAATTCTGAGTTTCTCACTTTGTGTCCTGTTCATAACTTTCTGCATATTTCTATCTATTATCTATCGATATATCTATTTATCTATTTGGTGCCTATCTACAAATTCTCTACCTGTCATCTATATCTATATATAATCTATTTATCTATCAATTGTCTATCCAAAAATCATCTATTATCTATATCTATGTATCGTCTCTCTCTCTCTATGATTTCTCTTTGTCTGCCTCTCTATCTCTATGTATTATCTATCTATCTTCATCTTCATCATCTCTATGTATCATCGATTAATCAATGAATGAATCAATCATCATCTATGTATCTATAACCTATTATCTATCATCTACCTATTTATCATCTATCTATATCTATCCATCTATCATCTGTCTTGCTCTGCCTCTCGGTCTCTCTAGTTCTCTTTGGAATCTCTGCAATTCATCCCCACATCTCCATCTTTCTATGTCCTTGTGTCTCTCCCTCAGGACTCTAATTTTAGTGCTTTTCTCTGTTCCCTTCCATTGTTCTCTCCACTTCTCTGCCCTCTTTTCTCCCTCTTTATGTGTCTGTGAGTCTCTCAATCTCCTTCCTCTGGCTCATTCTCTGTGTGTTTATGTCTTTGCTTTTTGGTGTCCCTGATTTCTCTCTGTGTCTCTCAGTGATCCTCTCATATGTGGGGTTATTTGGAATGTGAGCCTCAGAATCCAGTCTGGGGACCGCAAGTTCACACAGTATACAGGGGTTGATGTTCTGGGGCCATGATATCCTGGGACGATTACTCTCCATTGCATGGAAGGCAGAGGTGTCAGAATAAACACGGCATCTGTAGGTGCCAGAAGGCCTGAGGCCACAGGGCCCAACTCAGGCCAGAAATATGGGTGTCCTTGGGTTCTTCTGGTAGAGAACACTTTGTGGAAGTAAAACAGAAATGAAACTTCTAACCTGTGCCAGGTCTCTGAGCAAAGTCAGCATGGAAGGACACCTCTCTCTGGCACATGTCTGTCTGTGTCTCCTTTAACTCTTTCTGTCTTTTCTAACTCCCTGTATGGCCCCTGTGTCTGTCCTCTGTTATGACACCTGGTCTGTACTTGTGTCTCCTGTTTCTCTGTCTCTGTTGGTACAGACCTCACCAAGTTAGTCTCTCTCCATAAGAATACCAAGCTCATCTTCCTTATAACCACCTGGGCCTCCAAGTCGTGGATCATTCACTCTGTGTCCCAGTGACAATGAGAATAATGTCCAGACACTCTCACCTGTAATCACGATGTCCAGAGGGTCACTGGGAGCTGACAACTGATAGGGGGAATGAGGAACAGAACCGTAGCATCTGTAGGTCCCTGCAAGGTCTTGCGTCATGCGACCGATGGAGAAGTTGGCCTTGGAGACCCCATCATGGAGCTCTCCAGTGAGGCGCAAAGTGTCATTAAACTTCCCCTCTCTGTGCAGAAGGAAGTGCTCAAACATGACATCTGACCAACATTGCAGGATGACTGTCTCTTCTGATTTCACCAGGGGACCTGGGTGGGCCAGGAGGGAAGGTTTTCTGTGGACTCCTAGGAAGAGAGGTTGTGACTTTAGAAGGCATCTCTCTTTATCATCCCATCCATGGCACCTAGAATGAGTGAGGCTTCCCCTCGCTGGTGTCTTATCTCTCTCCTTCCTCTCTGTGTCTTCATGTTCTTTTCTGTGCCCATAACTCCTGGTACAGGTCCTTCCATCTGTCTCCCTCCCTCTTCTCTGTCCCTCTGTCTCTAGTAGCTCCTGATTCCCTTGCCGCTGGGCTCAGCCTCATCTCTTGGGCTGTTGTATCTATTTCGAACTAATGTCTTTCCTGCTTCTATGTGGGGGTGGAAGAGGAACCAGGATAGGCTGCACGTCCAGGCTCTTAGCAGACTGGTTCAATCTCTTTTGGACGAATTGGAATCCTTGGCAGAAGGTATGAACTGATCAGTAAGGCAGGCACCAGTGTCCACACACCCTGTTCCTGGTGGGGACTGGGAGCCACTCTTGCCATGCCTGTGCCTTCTCCATGGTGCCAGCTTCCATAGGCTGGCTTCTGGTGCTGGTTTGAGGAGTATCAACCCCTCCCTATGTGGATGGAGCCTGGTGGTGGCATCATCATCCCACCCTTGCTGATCTCGGTGTAGCCAACCTTCTCTTTGTTTGGTTTCTTTAATTAATAAATTAATTTTGGAGTCAGAGTCTCACTCCTTCACCCAGGCTGGAGTGAAGTGGTGTGGTCTAGGCTCACTGCAACCTCTGTCTCCTGGGTTCAAGTGATTCTCCTGCCCTCAGCCTCCTGAGTTGCTAGGATTACATGCACCTGCCACCACGCCCGGCTATCCTTGTGTCCTTTCTTATCTTGTCCTTGACCTGGGTTCCAGTGTTGGTTTCCTGTTGGTGCTGTGGAAAATTATCAGAAGCATGGCAGCAGGAGAGAGCACACTGACCCCTTCCGTTTCTGGAGACAGAAATCGGACCCTGTTTTTTGAGGGCTAAAATCAAGGCATCTGCAGGGCTGCGTTCCCTCTGGAGACCCAGGAGAATCAGTTCCTTGACTTTTCCAGCCTCTATAGGCCACCTGCATTCATGGCTCATGGCCTTCCTCCACCTTCAAAGCTGATGGAGACTTCCATTGCACTGCTCTAATCGCCACTCCCCTCTTCCTTCTCCTCTCATGTGCACCCTTGTGATTACACTGAGCCCAGCAGGACAGTCCAGGCTGTCTCCCCATCTCAAGGTCAACTCAACAACCTGAGCTCCATCTTCCCCTTCAGTGCCTTCCCCTATAACATAAATAGTCACAGACTGCAGGGATTAGAATGCAGTCATCATTGGGGACAATTATTCTTTCCACCACAGCACCCATTTCCCTGTATTCAATCCCCTTTTACCCCAAATACAGTTAGGGTCTGGATGATGGGACGCTGGTGGACACTCCCACCAGAAGCTCTGGGACTCAGGAGGTGGGACAAGGAGAATCCCAGACAGGAGCCCTCTGACCTGTGACCATGATCACCAGGGGGTTGCTGGGTGCTGACCACCCAGTGAGGAAGTGTGGGTGTGAACCCCGACATCTGTAGGTCCCTGCATGTGCTGGGGTCACAGGGCCTATGAAAACGGTGTTTCGGAATACTCTGTTGTAGAGCTCAGGGACAGGCATCCCGTCTTCTTTGGACAGACTGAATTCGTTAAACCCAAGACGAGAGCGACACTGAAGAGCCACATGTTCTCCTTCAGACACCACAGGGCTGGGCCAGGCAGAGAGGAAGGGCTTGTCCTGACCACCTGGGGGAGAAGGAGGCGCCACCTTAGAGAGGAGGATGTGGCACTCCCTCCCTCTATTCCTTTCCAGGACTCACCAACACACGCCATGCTGACGACCATGAGCGACATGGTGCTGCCGGTGCAGACAGGCGGCCGCGCCCCAGCTCAGCTCAGCAGCGCACAGGATGTTATTTGGCGCCCTGCCCATGCAGCTTACATGTTGACTACATCATGGGAGGGTGACGTACGCAGGCTCTTTCTACCTTGCATGAGGCCCAGTGGATGCTTGCTCAAGAGCGGAACACGGCTTCCTGGAAATTGTTCTCACTAGAATTGGCACCTCACGTCCTTCACTATGACCAACTCACAACACGTCTCAGATCCAACCTCCCGAACACAAGATGCCTAAAATCTGTGCTAACGTGAAAGACTTTTCATGTATTTTTATCCGAACACGAGATGCCTAAAATCTGTGCTAACATGAAAGACTTTTCATGTATTTTTTTTGTTTTTATCTGAGATTCAAACTCTTCTTCCTGTGTAATATGCAAAGTATCTAATAGGTATTATTAATGTTTTCGGAGTCATTGTGACTAATAAACCATTAGAATTTTTCATGCTTGTATTTCTAGTATTACAGCAGAACCAGCTAAAATGATTTAAATTCCCAGGGAAGGATTATGCAATTATTTACAATCTTAGAATTGTACTTTATCAGCAAAAACCACACCTGTAAATTCTGGAGTTTTGTAGTTTAATCTAAAATTTGTCTCATGACCCAAGATTCCAGAGTCCCAACTCTGGAGTTTGCTCTCTGTCTGTCTCTCTCCCTCCCTCGTTTTAAATTTTACAGAAATATCCAGTAACATAATGCTATAGAAAATCAAGTTTTCCCCAGCACGTTGGGAAGCCGAGGTGGGCGGATCAACTGAGATAAGGAGTTTGAGAGCAGCCTGGCCAATATAGTGAAACCGTGTCTCTGTTAAAAATCCAAAAATTAGCCGTGCCTGGTGGCAGGCACCTGTAACGCCAGCTACTCAAGAGGCTGAGGCACGAGAATCGCTTGAACCTGGGAGGCGGAGGTTGCAGTGAGCTGAGATTGTGCCACTGCAGTCCAGCCTGGGCGACAGAGCAAGACTCCGCCTCAAGAAAAAAAAAGCAAACAGCCTATAATAACAAATTAGAGGGCTCTGGCTACTAAATTTAAAGGGTTCTATAAGGCTACATAAAGTGCAGCATCATCAAGAGTGTGGACACAGAGAGCCCCTTAGCAGAAACAGTGTCTAAAATACATCCATGTACACACAGTCCCTTTAGAGTTGACAAAGGCTGCCGTGTGGTTTAAGGTGGCATAGAATGTCTTCTCAATAAATAATATTAAACCAATTGGTTACACCTAGGAAAAAATAAATCTAACTCACACTATAAAAACACTTCTTAGTTTTTATCTAGTTGTACATTTTTTATGATTTATATTTAAATTTGAGAAATAAAAGTCATATACGGTCATCCTTCACTATTCGTGGGTGATTGGTTTTGAGATCTCCACTCAGATACCAAAATCTGTAGATGCTCAAGCCTCTTATATGAAATGGCACAGCGTTTGCAAATAACCTATGCACATCCTCCTGTATACATGAAATCATCTCTAGATTACTTATAATTCCTGATACAGCCTACACACAGCTTCATTTGTGTCCATTCAACATAGTTATGCTTTTTGAAACTCTGTGGATACTTTCTCTCAATATTTTTGATTTATACTTGGTTCAATAAACACCTGTAAACCCCGCAGATATGGAGGAGTGACCGTATATTTATATTATGAAAGATGATGTGTTGATATGTGTCCCCATGGAGATGAGACTAACAAGGCCTATGATTCTACAAATGTTTCATTGTGGAATGACTCTGCCAGCTTTCCAGGTCTGCAGAGAGTAAGAGTATCACTTGTTCATATGATTCGTGATCCTTGGAACCTCCTATGTGCTACATCTTTGGATGGAAATTGGAGTCCCAGAGACAAATGAGGCTCCACCCTGCTTCCAGAAACTCAGAGTCCGGGGATGAGAACTCAGTGGGGAACAGATGGGATTATATGGACATGGTACTGATAACACCGGAAGCCTTAGGCAAGAAAAGAGTCCCATTACCGAAACCATGGGGGCAGACATGTTTATTTGAAGGATGGAAAACTACATTGAAGTTATTTTAAAAAATATATAAGTTTTACTGCTGACAGAAGACTGAAAGCTAGTCTGAGGGGAGGTGGAACAGCATGAGGGAAGGTGGAACAACACGTGTCTAAGTGCTGCGTTAAGAGGGAGCCTCTTGTATGTTTGGAATTGTGAGTTCCTCAGTGTGATTGCAGCCTCAAGTAGACTAGGAAGTAAGCCAGTTAGGTTGGAGAGGTGGGCAGGGGTCAAGTGAAATGGAGAACTGTGGGTTAAGCAAAGGAGTGTGTTTTTTCTCCAGCAGGCAGTGGGGACCTTAGACATTTGTAAGCAAGAGAGAGGCACATTCAGATTTGTGGTGTGAGGAAGATCGATGCCCTAAGATGCAGACTCACGCCTTCAGATTCCAGCTGCTGGTACATGGGAGCTGGCAACCCGGTTTTGAGACAGGGCTGTTGTCTCCCTAGAAGACGCCCTCAAGGCCTGACTGTGGTGCTCATGGGCAGGAGACAACTTTGGATCTGGACTCAGCATTTGGAAGTTCCGTGTACACGATGATATCTGTTGGGGGTGTCTTGGGCCTCTGAGAAGGGCGAGTGATTTTTCTCTGTGTGAAAACGCAGTGATTCAACTGTGTGTATGTCACCTCCTGAGGGTCTTGTTCATCAGAGTCCTGGAGAGAGGGAAATGCTGAGTGAGGGAGGGTGCTCACATTTTCCAGGACTCTTTGGGAATAACAGTAGCCACGAGCCCGGGCCGAGGAGTACCTACCTCGCTATTCGCTGTTCTGTTTCCTGCAGACTCTTGGTCCATTACCGCAGCATCTGTAGAAGATGGAAGTCAACAAAACAGCTCGGAGGGCACTTCTGGGTCCTCATTTCATAAGCAGATACCAACATACAGGGGGAGACCATAGGTGGCTGAGGTCCCTCAGTTGCCAACAGCAGACTCAGACATTCTATCTCTCTGAGCTCAAGGACCCATCCCATGAATAGCTCTGAGTTCCCATCCCATTGATTCTGTCTCCCACTTTCTGCCTGTCATGGAACCTTCTCCTGGATGTGAGTGGCTGCAGGGGACATGGGGATACAGTTCAGAATCAGGCAACGGTCTGTGAGTTGAAGGCAGGGACAGGGAGTCTGGTGCCCTCTCTAGAAAGTCCTGCCTCTGTGGCTGCTGCCTTGGGCCAGGGACCATCCTGTTTGTGAGGAACACACACCTGAGTGCTCCCATCCTGCTTCCCCACATGGCCCTGAGCTCTCTGGCCTCTGCTTCGTGAGACTTACTTTTTTTGTTGGAGCACCAGCGATGAAGGAGAAAGAAGAGGAGGATGAAGAGGATGATGACCACTGAGGTCCCAATCAGAATGTGCAGGTGTCGGGGGTTACCTGGAAGAAGATGAGACACCAATAAGAAGCTAATCTTAGCAGTTCCTCTTTATGAATTGTCTCGCATTTCTTGATTGACAGGTAACCACATAAAACACCTCTTTAGGACAAGCACCCAGATGGCAGGAGACCCAGCTTTCTCCTGCTTTTTCAGTTATAGCTCTCATAGTAACCATAGAACGTGCTGAGGATACGACTACTTTAGTTGAGATGTTTGACCCCTTCAAACCTCACATTGAAATTTCACCCCCACTGTGGGAGGTTGGGCCTCTTGAGAGGTGTTTGGGTCATGGAGGTGGATCCATCATGAACACATCAATGCTGTCCCAAGGAGACGGGGTTAGCAAGTTCCCCCTCTATTAGTTCCCGGAGAGCTGGTTGTTAAAAAGAGCTTGGAAGCTCCATCACTCCCCCTCCCCCTTGCTCCCTCTCTTGCCGTGTGATCTCTGTGGTCTCTGCACAGACAGACCCTCCTTCCCTTCTGCCAGAGTGGGAGCAGCCTGAGGCCGTCACGAGAAATAGATGCTGGTGCCATGCTTCCAGTACAGCCTGCAGAACGGTGAGGCAAACCAATCTCTTTTCTTTAGAAGTTACCGAGGCTCAAGTGTTCCTTTAGAGCAACAAAAATGGCCTAAGACAGCAACTTCCTGAGATCAGGAGGAACGTCTCAGAACACCCTGGGCTGTCTTCCTGTTCTTCCTGGAGGACGTCATGCAGTGCTTTAGCTGAGTGCTTCCTGTGGCTCCAGGGTACAAAACCCAGGCTGGGCTGCTTTCTGGCTTCCCGCAGCTACACTGCAAATGGGGTGACTCCATATGTCCCGAGGAGCTTTTCTGAGCCTTGAGGGACTGGGTCACATTGAAATATAGGTTTCTGTTGTCACTCGCTGCTTATCTGTTAGTAATGAACCTGCCTATGTAACGTATTCTCTGTGTGTTCTGTCTCCCTGGAGTGACGGTGAGTGATAGGAATTGGCATAGGCCCAGGTGCAGTCCAGGAGGTGTTTAGAGTCTTCTCTGGGAAGACTGGACTGGGATTGATTCACAGCGAATGTGCTTTAGGGTTTCTACATCCACAGCATTCTTGAATCAAACAACTTGCATTCTCCAAGGAAAGAAAACAAAAGTGAAATCAAGATAAAAAAAGCGAAATAGAATTCTCTTATGTCAAACGGCCAGGAAATAGTGTTGAAGCCCGTGTGAAACCTGCTGCTCTTTGTGATCTCGGGAGACACATATTAGGCTGCTGTTCTACCCGAGAGGCTGGGGGAAGGACCACCCCCTCGGCCATCTATTGCTTCAAAACCACCTGTCCTCCTGTGAATTAGTAGGAAAGGGGAGCAGGAGCTAGTGCTGTCGCTGATCTCTGATTCCAAGATCTGGACTCACTCCAAGGAGTGTTAATGTTTACCTCCCCATGGTCTATCTGAATCTCCACAGGTGATTGGAAGTAGGGGTGAGGTGGGGGATTTGGGTGAGTGGGCAAGTTTTTTTTGTGATGACCAGAGCACTTTCTCTATTCCAGGATCTGTGCTGGAGGATTCAGCGGGCTTTCACATTTTCTATATGATCTCATGCTCACAGAAAGCCAAATAGGGAAGAGGTTTTAGGCTCATTGCCTAATGGATAAGATAAAGGATCAAAGAAGTAATTATAGAGAAATAGAAAAACGATGATTGGAATTCAGGTGCCTTTGTCATTCGTGTGTGTTTTATTATATTTATGTATTTCTTATTTTTATTTTTTGAGATAGAGTCTCCTTGTGTCCCCCAGGCTGGAGTGCAGTGATGCAATCTCCACTCACTGCAACCTCCACCTACTGGGTTGAAGTCATTCTCCTGCTTCATCCTCCAGAATAGGAGCTGGGATTACAGGGATGCACCATCGTGCTCGGCTAATTTTTGTATTTTTAGTAGAGATAGGGTTTCACCACGTTGGCCAGGCTGGTCTGGAACTCCTGACTTCATGGAATCCACCCACCTTGGCCTCCTGCAGTGCTAGGTTACAGGCGTGAGCCACTGTTCACAGACTTGTATATTATGCTATAATAAGTCTCTTCATTTCCACCACCACTCATATATCTGTCACTCCTTTGCCAGGTATTGATTTATGTGTAGGATGAATAAATCTCAGAAAGAAATTAATTAAGCGAGGATTAAACAAGTAGGAAAATCAAACCCAGTAAGCCTTTCCAGTCAATGATTCTACCTCACAAACATATCTTATATCCATCTACTTCATTCATTTAGTGTCTAAATCAGCACCACATTTCACCAGTGGGGCGGCAATTGCCTTTTCCACGGTCTCCTAGATTCCAGTTATGCACCTGGGCCTCCCTTATTTTCATGTCAGTCATATTAATCATGTAGGGATTCCTGGTTACCCCGAGGTGAATCCAATGGCTGTGAGTGTCAAACACACACTCCTTGTTGCTCCTTAGTTTCCTGTGTACCCAGTGTGCTCTCCGTCTCTCTACAGTCGTCTTGTCATTCTCCCCACCTCATTCCCAGCATTTGAGTCAGAGCCTCTTCCTTCCACATCAGATTGTTTTCACCTTTGTGCCTTCATGGCTGACAGCTGTGTGTGCAAAATCCTTCCGCCAATCTTTCAGGGGTTCATTCCGTGTTTTTCATTAATGTCACAAATATCTGAATAGTGAGACCTTCTTTGTCACCTGAAATCATACACTCAGCATTATCTATTATTGATTTTGAATTCTGGCTGGGCACAGTGGCTCACGCCTGTAGTCCCATTACTTTGGCATGCTGAGACGGTCGGATCACTTGAGGTTGGGAGTTTCAGACAAGCTTGGCCAACGTGGTGAAACATCCTCTCTACAAAAAATATACAAAAAGAATTAGCCGGGCACGGTGGCAGTTGCCTGTAATCCCAGCTACTCGAGAGGCGGAGGCAGGAGAATCACTTGAATCCAGGAGACGCAGGTTGCAGTGAGCCAAGATCGTGACACTGCACTGTAGCCTGGAAGACAGAGGGCGACTCTGTCTCAATAAACAAAAGAACAAACAAAAAATAGATTTCATGCACAGATGCTTCCCAATGGACCATTCATTTATAGATCCACTTGTGCGTTCATTTTCTGCCCTCCCATTTAACCATCTGCAATATCAGTGTCCCAAGGGCAGAGGCCAAATGCATCTTGTTCACTGTTTGTGGAAGGCAGGAGAATGCTGTCCCACCCCAAAATGTCCCTGTCCTAGCCTCCATAGCTTGTGAATATGTTATTTTACATGGAAAGGAGGAATGAAGATTGCAGATGGAATTATGGTTGCTAATCAGCTGAACTTAAAACAAGGGTATCCTGGATGATTTCCAGGAGATTATGAGGGATTTTCATCTTGGTGAACCCAATAGAATCCCCAAGTTTTCAAAAGATGAGGAAGAAGGGAGAGCAGCACTCAGAGAAAGAGGTGTGGTAAGGAAGAAGGCACTGAGTGATGCCATGTGAGATGTGACCAGTCTTTGTGGGCTTTGAGGAAGGAGGAAGGGGACCAGGAGCCAAGGAACTGGGAGCCTTTAGAAGCTGGGACAAGTGAGAAGCAGATTCGTGCCTGGAATCCTCAGAGGGAAGGCAGCCTTGCTGTCACCTTGATTTTAGCCCAGTAAGATGCACTTCCTACTTTGAGCTACAGCACTGTAAGATAATTAAAAAACCGTTTTGTTTTCACCCACGAATCTTGTGGAAATTTGTTATGGCAACAATAGGAAAAGGTTCCACACTGCACAGCCTGAGCATGGGGCCGTGGCTGAATGAGTCAGTGAGTCGAAGTGTGCGTGCATGAGCTCTGTTCTCTGTTACGGCAAGGCTCTTTCTCTGCGGAGTCAGCCAGGGTTGCTTCATGACCTACAGGAGCTCATTCCTTGGCAAGTGGAACTTCTCTAAAACACCTTGCCCTCATCAGATGTTCCCTTCCCTTCCCTCTCTCAAGTCTCCAGGAATTTATCCTCCAGTTAGGAATGCAGGTAGAACAAACATTGCATTTTTCCTGAGAAGGATGTCAGATTGGCAATCATTCTTCTAGCTTGTAGGAGGTCTCAGCTCCATAAAATGAGAGATGAAGAGATTTCACTGAGCCCTGTGTTGGGCCCAGATCCCTTTCGCTGTAGGAGTATCTGGAGTTCGGAGATGGTGGAAGACAAGTGTACAATGTCAGAGCTGTGAGATGCTGAGTCAACGCCTGAATCCAAGGTTCCCACCTCCCCAGGGTTCCAAAAGCGGATATAAGAGGGTTCTGTACTCACCGGTTTTGGAGCTTGGTTCAGTGGGTGAAGGCCAACTATTTGAAGGGTTTCCTAGAACATGAGACAGGAGAGAGGTGAGGAAATGAGGGTGTCTGTCCTCCACTCAGTGGAAATCTTTGAGGATGGTTCATGGCCAACACTCTCTTATCTAATATTGAGCCCTGGGAGTCCTGGGATCCTTTTTTCCATAATTTTTTTATATGACACCCACTGTCTTGAGACTTCAAGATATAAAGAGAAAACAGGAGCATCACACTACCTGATCTCAAAATATGTTACAGAGCTGTAGTAAGCAAAATAGCATGACATTGGCATAAAGAAAGGCACATAGAACAACGGAGCAGAATGAATAACACAGATATATTCCATGCATTTACATCCAATGGTTTTTTATTTTTTCTTTTGAGATGGAGTCTTGCTCTGTCACTCAGGCTGGAGTGCAGAGGTGCAATCTCGGTTCACTGCAACCTCAGCCTCCTGGGTTCAATCATTCTCTTGCCTCAAATTCCTGAGTAGTGGTATTACAGGTGCTGACCACCATGCTCAGCTAATTTTTATATTTTTAGTGGAGACGATGTTTCATCACGTTGGCCAGACTAATCTTGAACTCCTGGCCTCAGGTGATCCACCCACCTCGGGCTCCCAAAGTGCTGAAATTGCAGGTGTTAGCCACCAAGCCCAGCCCATCCAATGGACTTTGACAAAGATGCCAAGAACTCACAATCAGGAAAGGACAGTCTTTTCAATAAACAGTGCAGGGAAACCTGGACATCTACATGCAGAGGAATGAAACTGCAACTCTACCTGTCACCATACACAAAAATCAAATGAAAATGGATTAAAGATGTGAGTCTAAGGCCTGAACCTATGAAACACGTAGAACAAAATATTGGGGAAATGCTCCAGGACGTTTGTCTGAAGGAAGACATTTTGTTTTAAACCTTCAAAACACAAGTAATCGAAGCAAAAATAGACCATTGGGATTACCTCAAACTAAGCAACTTCAGCACTGCTAAAAATAAACCAACAAAGTGAAGAGACAACCCACAGATTGGGAGCAAATATGTGCAAACTATGCATCTGAGATGGGATTAATAACTAGAAATATAAGAAGCTCAAACAACTCAATAAAACAAATGATTTAATTGAAAAAGGAGCAAAAGACATGAAATTTCCCCACATACGAAAAAGTGCTCAGTATCACTCATCATCAGAGAAACGCAAATTAAAATCAAAGTGAGTTTTCATCTCACCCCATTAAAATGGCTTTTAGGCCGGGTGAGGTGGCTCACTTGTGTCATCCTAGAACTTTGAGAACCTGAGGTGGGTGAATCTCATAAGGTTGGGAGTTTGAGACCAGTCTGACCCACATAGAGAAACGCTGTCTCTACTAAAAATACAAAAATTAGTAGGGCGTGGTGGCGTGTGCCTGTAATTCCAGCTACTCGGGAGGCTGAGGCAGGAGAATCGCTTGAACCTGGGAGGTGGAGGTTGTGGTGAGCCGAGATAGCGCCACTGCACTCCAGCCTGGGTGAGAAGAGCAAAACTCCATCTCAAAATAAAATGAAATAAAATAAAATGGCTTTTAGCTGCAAGACAGGCAAAAGAAATGCTGGCAAGGTGGTAGAGAAAGGAGAACCCTGGTACCCTGTTGGGAGGAGTGTAAATTAGTACAGCCATTACGGAGAAAAGTATGGAAGTCCTTTAAAGAACTAAAAAGAGGTTGGGTGAGGTGGATCATGCCTGTAATCCCGGCACTTTGGGAGACTGAGGCGGGCACCTCAGTTGAGGTCATGAGTTTGAGAGCAGCCCAGCCAACATGGGGAAACCGCATCTATACTAAAAAAACCAAAAAGTAGCCAGGCATGGTGGTGTGCACCTGTAATCCCAGCTACTAGGGAGGCTGAGGCAGGAAAATCATTTGAACCCAGGAGGCGGAGGTTGCAATGAGCCAAGGTTGCACCACTTTGACTCCAGCTTGGGCTAAGGAGGGAAACTCTTTCTCAAAAAAGAAAAAAAAAAAAAAAAGAGAACTTTCATAGTATCCAGCAATTTCACTACTGGGTTTATATCCAAAGGAAAGTAAATCAACATATCGAAGTGATATCTGCACTCGTATGATTGGTGCAGCACTGTTCACAGTAGCCAAGATGAGGAGTCAACCTACCTGCCCATCAGTGGGTGAATGGATAGAGAGAATGTAGTACATACGCACAGTGGAGACTACTCATCCATAGAAAGAATAACATCCTGTCATTTGCAGCCACATGGATGGAACTGGAGGTCATTAAAAAGATTCCCATTTCTCACCCATATACAGGAGCTAAAAGGTGGATCTCATGAAGGTAGAGAGTAGAATGGTGGCTACTGGAGGACAGGAAGAAAAGGGTGGAGGGTAAAAAAAATGTATATATATATATATATAAAAATGTATTTATGACCACTAGACTTTACACTTAAAAATGGTAAATGTGGCTGGGCCTGGTGGCCCATGCCTGTAATCCCAGCACTTTGGGAGGCTGATGCGGGTGGATCACGTGGTCAGGAGTTCGAGACCAGCTCGACCAACATGGTGAAACCACCTCTCTACTAAAAATACAAAAAGTAGCCTGGCGTGGTGGTGCGTGCCTGTAGCACTAGCTACTCAGGTGGCTGAGGCAGGAGAATCGCTTGAACCCAGGAGGCGGAGGTTGCAGTGAGCTGAGATTGTGCCACTGCACTCCATCATAGGGGACAGAGCTAGACTCCACCTCAAAAAAAAATGTTAAAAGTGGTAAGCTATATAGGTATATTTATCCTCAATAAATATTTCTTCAAAGAAAAGTAAAGGGTGTAGGGGTTGCTGGTGATGACATCTCTGTGTGGGTGAGAGGCCAGGATGGGCTTCTGGGAAATGGGTAAGGTTGAGGGGCTGAGGGAACCTCTGATCTCCCCAAACTGAGCCCAGTCTCCCTCCTCTGGGTCTCTCCTGACCGCTTTCTCCATCTGCCTGGGTGCCTGGAGCCCTGGCCGTGGGCCTCCATGCAGGCCATGTAGGAGGGTTTGGAGGTGCCCTGTCGGCCATCCTGTGCCCTGATCCCTCCCTCACACCGAGGCTGCGTCTTCTCTCTGCATCTGTCCATGCTTCTCTCCATCCTCAGCAGGAAGCTCCTCAGCTAAGGCTCTAGGATCATAGGACATGGGACAGCCATGGGCTTTCCTCACCTGTGACAGAAACAAGCAGTGGGTCACTTGACTTTGACCACTCGTATGGAGAGTCATGGAAAGAGCCGAAGCATCTGTAGGTCCCTCCGTGGGTGGCAGGGCCCAGAGGAAAGTCAGCCTGGAATGTTCCGTTGACCTTGGGCCCTGCAGGGAGCCTACGTTCATGGGCCTCCCCTTCCCTGGATAGATGGTACATGTCATAGGAGCTCCGGGAGCTGCAGGACAAGGTCACATTCTCTCCTGCCAGAACCGTGGGGCCCAGCTGGGCTGAGAGAGAAGGTTTCTCATATAGACCTGGAAGGAGAAGAGGCAGTTTCCTCAGGGAGGATCTTCTTTGTCACAGCTCCCTTCACCTGAGCTGAGAACTCACTCCCCTGTTCTATGACCTAATGCTCTCTCTCTCTCTCTCTCACCCTCTACCCCATCGCTCTTCATGTCTATTTCCTCCTTCCACCTTCTCTGTCTCTCTAGGTCTCTGACCTCACTTCCCCACCTCTAGATATGTTTTCTCTTTTTGGATTGTTTTATTCTCTCTGACTCTCCTTGGATTGGTTGACTTGATGTTACTTTTTTTAATTCTGAGTTTCTCACTTTGTGTCCTGTTCATAACTTTCTGCATATTTCTATCTATTATCTATCGATCTATCTATTTATCTATTCGGTGCCTATCTACAAATTCTCTACCTGTCATCTATATCTATATATCATCTATTTATCCATCAATTGTCTATCTATCCATCAATCATCTATTATCTATATCTATGTATCATCTCTCTCTCTCTATGATTTCTCTATGTCTGCCTCTGTATCTCTATGTATTATCTATCTATCTGTCTTCATCATCATCATCTCTATGTCTCATCTATTAATGAATCAATCAATCATCATCTATGTATCTATAACCTATTATCTATCATCTACCTATTTATCATCTATCTATATCTATCCATCTATCATCTGTCTTGCTCTGCCTCTCGGTCTCTCTAGTTCTCTTTGGAATCTCTGCAATTCATCCCCACATCTCCATCTTTCAATGTCCTTGTGCCTCTCCCTCAGGAGTCTAATTTTAGTGCTTTTCTCTGCTCCCTTCCATCATTCTCACCACTCCTCTGCCCTCTTTTCTCTCTCTTTATGTGTCTGTGAGTCTCTCAATCTCCTTCCTCTGGCTCATTCTCTGTGTGTTTATGTCTTTGCTTTTTGGTGTCCCTGATTTCTCTCTGTGCCTCTCACTGATCCTCTCATAAGTGGGCTTATTTGGAATATGAGCCTCAGAATCCAGTCTGGAGACTACAAGTTCACACAGCATACAGGGGTTGGTGTTGTGGGGCCATGATATCCTGGGACGATTACTCTCCATTACATGGAAGGCAGAGGTGTCAGAATAAACATGGCATCTGTAGGTGCCACAAGGCCTGAGGCCACAGGGCCCAACTCAGGTCAGAAATATGGGTGTCCTTGGGTTCTCCTGGTAGAGAACACTTTGTGGAGGTAAAACAGAAATGAAACTTCTAACCTGTGCCAGGTCTCTGAGCAAAGTCAGCATGGAGGGACACCTCTCTCTGGGACATGTCTGTCTGTGTGTCTCCTTTAACTCTTTCTGTCTTTTCTAACTCCCGGTATGGCCCCTGTGTCTGTTCTCTGTTATGACACCTGGTCTCTACTTGTGTCTCCTGTTTCTCTGTCTCTGTTGGCACAGACCTCACCAAGTCAGTCTCTCTCCATAAGAATACCAAGCTCATCTTCCTTACAGCCACCTGGGTCTCCAATTCCTGGATCATTCACTCTGCATCCCAATGACAATGAGAAGAAAGTCTGGACACTCTCACCTATGATCACGATGTCCAGAGGGTCACTGGGAGCTGACACCTGATAGGGGGAGTGAGTAACAGAACCGTAGCATCTGTAGGTCCCTGCCAGGTCTTGCGTCATGCGACTGATGGAGAAGTTGGCCTTGGAGACCCCATCATGGTGTTCTCCAATGAGGCGCAAAGTGTCGTTAAACATCCCCTCTCTGTGCAGAAGGAAGTGTTCAAACATGACATCTGACCAACACTGCAGGATGACTGTCTCTTCTGATTTCACCAGGCGACCTGGGTGGGCCAGGAGGGAAGGTTTTCTGTGGACTCCTAGGAAGAGAGGTTGTGAGTTTAGAAGGTGTCTCTCTTTATCATCCCATCCATGGCACCTGGATTGAGTCAGGCTTCCCCTTCCTGGTGTCTTATCTCTCTCCTTCCTCTCTGTGTCTTCATGTTCTTTTCTGTGCCCATAACTCCTGGTGCAGGTCCTTCCATCTGTCTCCCTCACTCTTCTCTGTCCCTCTGTCTCTAGTAGCCTCTGATTCCCTTGCCGCTGGGCTCAGCCTCATCTCTTGGGCTGTTGTATCTATTTCGAACTAATGTCTTTCCTGCTGTCTATGTGGGGGTGGAAGAGGAACCAGGATAGGCTGCACATCCAGGCTCTTAGCAGCCTGGTTCAATCTCTTTTGGACGAATTGGAATCCTTGGCAGGAGGTATGAACTGATCAGTAAGGCAGGCACCAGTGGCCACACACCCTGTTCCTGGTAGGGACTGGGAGCCACTCTTGCCATGCCAGTGCCAGCTTCCATAGGCTGGCTCCTGGTGCTGGTTGGAGGAGTATCAACCCCTCCCTATGTGGATGGAGCCTGGTGGTGGCATCATCATCTGAGCCTTGCTGATCTCAGTGTAGCCAACCTTCTCCTTGTTTGGTTTCTTTAATTAATTAATTAATTTTGGCGACAGAGTCTCACTCCTTTGCCCAGGCTGGAGTGAAGTGGTGTGGTCTAGGCTCACTGCAACCTCTGTCTCCTGGGTTCAAGTGATTCTCCTGCCCTCAGCCTCCCAAGTCGCTAGGATTACATGCACCTGCCACCATGCCTGGCTATCCTTGTGTTGTTTCTTAACTTGTCCTTGACCTGGGTTCCAGTGTTGGTTTCCTGTTGCTGCTGTAGAAAATTATCAGAAGCATGGCACCAGGAGAGAGCACACTAACCCCTTCCAATTCTGGAGACAGAAATCGGACCCTGTTTGTCGTGGGTAAAATCAAGGCACCTGCAGGGCTTCGTTCCCTCTGGAGACTCAGGAGAATCAGTTCCTTGACTTTTCCAGCCTCTATAGGCCACCTGCATTCATGGCTCCTGGACTTCCTCCACCTTCAAAGCTGATGGAGACTCCCATTATGCTGCTGTAATCCCCACTCCCCTCTTCCTCCTCCTTTCATGTGGACCCCTGTGACTACACTGAGCCCATCAGGACAGTCCAGGCTGTCTCCCCATCTCAAGGTCAACTCATCAACAACCTGAGCTCCATCTTCTCCTTCAGTCCCTTCCCCTATATCATAAATAGTCACAGACTCCAGGGATTAGAATGTAGTCATCACTGGGGACAATTATTCTTCCCACCACAGCACCCATTTCCCTGTATTCAATCCCCCTTTACCCCAAATACAGTCAGGACTTGCATGATGGGACCCGCAAGGACACGCCCACCAGGAGCTCTGGGATTCAGGAGGTGGGACAAGGAGAATCCCAGACAGGAGCCCTCTGACCTGTGACCGTGATCTCCAGGGGGTTGCTGGGTGCCGACCACCCACTGGGGTAGTGTGGTTGTGAACCCCGACATGTATAGGTCCCTGCGTGTGCTGGGGTCACAGGGCCCATGAAAAGGCTGTTCCAGAATATTATGTTGTAGAGCTCAGGGACAGGCACCCCATCTTCCTTTTACAGACTGAAGTTGTTAAACCCAAGATAAGAATGACACTGAAGAATCACATGTCCTGGAGGCACCACAGGGCTTGGCCAGGCAGACAGCAAGGGCTTGTCCTGACCACCGTGGGGAGAAGGAGGCACCGCCTTAGAGAGGAGGATGTGGAGCCGCCCCTCCCTCCCTGTGCTCTGAAGATTCTCCTCGCTTTCCAAGTTTCTATGGCTGCTATCACACCTTGGTGCCCAGGGCTAAAGGAAGGACCCATCCCGCAAACACAAGGTGTCTCCCTACAACAAAAGTGTCAGCTGAGAACTTTGAGCAAGTGCTGAGTAAGAGACTCCTACTAGATTTTAATACTGTAAGATTACTCACATAAAACAACACAGGGTAGACATGGGGTGGAGGGCATGTCCTTTGAGAATGGAATATCAGCCGATGCCTGAACGAAAATAAACAACTGAGTCCCCATCAGAGGATTGGAATGTCAGGGCCATGGCTGTGGTTTTCCCACCTCTTCTGGTAGAATGACAGCAGCCACACTGCAGCCCCTACCGTCATGGAAACGCTGAAGTGTGTGAGTAACACCTTTGTCCTCAGAGGATCTGCTGTTCCTACCACTTCCCCACCACACACCCCAGCTTTGAGCACCGTAGTCTAACCCTGGTCCCCACAGAACTTGACTCTGCCAAGGGAATGAAAGGCCAGGGAGGCAAGGTCAGAAATGTGGGCCCAGCACCCCAGGGTCCCTTCTTCCTAGTTTATGAGAGACTCCCTGACAGGACTTCCCTCCCATTTCAGGAAAATCCTCTTATGTGGGGAGATGACACCCGAAGGTTGGGAGAAGGACTCACCCTCATGTGGCCAGGCCCCCTGCAGCAAGAAGAACCCTGGAAAGAAAGATCATGATGGATGACCCATCTGCAGGCAAACCAGGGCACCCTTGCTGCCCCCACTGGGCTGTGAGTCTTGGTAGCCAGGCCCTTCCTGGGCTGAAGGTAAACTCACCCTCAGTGCCTACCTGCACCCAAGAACAGGGCTGTCGGCTGTGCAGAGACCCAGCCTCCAGGTCCATATCCCCACCTCAAGCCCATATCTCCACTCCAGGCCCATATCTCCACTCCAGGCCGATATTTCCACCCTAAGCCCATATCGCCAATCCAGGCCCATATCTCCAATCCAGGCTCAGATCTCCACCCTGGGCCCATATCTCCAATCCAGGCCCTTATCTCCACTCCAGGTCCATATCTCCTCTCCAGTCCCATATCTCCACTCCAGGCCCATATATCCTCTCCAGTCCCATATCTCCACACCCAGGCCCGTATCTCCATCCTAGGCACATATCTCCTCTCCAGGCCCAGATATCGACCTCTAGGCCCATATCTCCACTCCTGGCCCATATCTCCACTCCAGGCCCAGATATCGACCTCTAGGCCCATATCTCCACTCCTGGCCCATATCTCCACTCCAGGCCCATGTCTCCACTTCAGGCCCATATCTCTACTGCAGGCCCATAACTCCACCTCCAGGCCCATGACTCCACTCCAGGCCCATATCTCCACCTCCAGGCCCATATCTCCCCTCCAGGTTCCTATCTCCCCTCCAGGTTCCTATCTCCACTCCAGGCCCAGATCTCCACTACAGTCCCATCACTCCACCTCCAGGCCTATATCTCGACCTCTGGGCCCAGATCTCCACTTCTAGGCCCATCACTCCATCTCTAGGCCCATATATCCACTCCAGGCCCAGATCTCCACTCCAGGCCCATAACTCCACCTCCAGGCCTATATCTCCACCTCTGGGCCCAGATCTCCATCCCCTCACTCCCTCCCTCTATTGCTTTCCAGGACTCACCAACACACGCCATGCTGACGACCAAGAGCGACATGGTGCTGCCGGAGCAGACAGGCAGCCGCGACCGAGCTCAGCTCAGCAGCGCACAGGATGTTATTTGGCGCCCTGCCCATGCAGTTTACATGTTGACCACATCATGGGAGGGTGACGTACGCAGGCTCTTTCTACCTTGCATGAGGCCCAGTGGGTGCTCGCTCAAGAGCGGAACACGGCTTCCTGGAAATTGTTCTCGCTAGAATTTGACACCTAGTGTCCTTCACTATGACCAACTCAAAACACGTCTGAGATCCAACCTCCCGAACACGAGATGCCTAAAATCTGTGCTAACATGAAAGACTTTTCATGTATTTCTATTGTTTTTATCTGAGATTCAAACTCTTCTTCCTGTGTAATATGCAAAATATCTAATAGGTATTATTAATGTTTTCAGAG
Organism: Homo sapiens; assembly: GCF_000001405.40. Classification (NCBI taxonomy): domain Eukaryota; kingdom Metazoa; phylum Chordata; class Mammalia; order Primates; family Hominidae; genus Homo; species Homo sapiens. The sequence continues at coordinate 99,956 of NT_187639.1, forward strand.
TCATTGTCACTAATAAACCATTAGAATTTTTCATGCTTGTATTTCTAGTATTACAGCAGAACCAGTTAAAATGATTTAAATTCCCAGGGAAGGATTATGCAATTATTTACAATCTTAGAATTGTACTTTATCAGTAAAAACCCCACCTGTAAATTCTGGAGTTTTGTAGTTTAATCTAAAATTTGTCTCATGACCCAAGATTCCAGAGTCCCAACTCTGGAGTTTGTTTTCCGTCTGTCTCTCTCCCTCCCTCATTTTAAATTTTACAGAAATATCCAGTAACATAATGCTATAGAAAATCAAGTTTCCCCAGCACGTTGGGAAGCCGAGGTGGGCGGATCAACTGAGATAAGGAGTTTGAGAGCAGCCTGGCCAATATAGTGAAACCGTGTCTCTGCTAAAAATCCAAAAATTAGCCGTGCCTGGTGGCAGGCACCTGTAACGCCAGCTACTCAAGAGGCTGAGGCATGAGAATCGCTTGAACCTGGGAGGCAGAAGTTGCAGTGAGCTGAGATTGTGTCACTGCAGTCCAGCCTGGGCGACAGAGCAAGACTCCGCCTCAAGAAAAAAAAGCAAATAGCCTATAATAACAAATTAGAGAGCTCTGGCTACTAAATTTAAAGGGTTCTATAAGGCTACATAAAGTGCAGCATCATCAAGAGTGTGGACACAGAGAGCCCCTTAGCAGAAACAGTGTCTAAAGTACATCCGTGTACACACAGTCCCTTTAGAGTTGACAAAGGCTGCCGTGTGGTTTAAGGTGGCATAGAATGTCTTCTCAATAAATAATATTAAACCAATGGGTTATACCTAGGAAAAAATAAATCTAACTCACACTATAAAAACACTTCTTAGTTTTTATCTAGTTGTACATTTTTTATGATTTATATTTAAATTTGAGAAATAAAAGTCATATACGGTCATCCTTCACTATTCGTGGGTGATTGGTTTCGAGATCTCCACTCAGATACCAAAATCTGTAGATGCTCAAGCCTCTTATATGAAATGGCACAGAGTTTGCAAATAACCTATGCACATCCTCCTGTATACATGAAATCATCTCTAGATTACTTATAATTCCTGATGCAGCCTACACACAGCTTCATTTGTGTCCATTCAACACAGTTCTGCTTTTTGTAACTCTGTGGATACTTTCTCTGAATATTTTTGATTTATACTCGGTTCAATAAAGAACTGTAAACCCCACAGATATGGAGGAGTGACTGTATATTTATAGTGTGAAAGATGATGTGTTGATATGTGTCCCTGTGTAGATGAGACTAACAAGGCCTATGATTCTACAAATGTTTCATCTTGGAATGACTCTGCCAGATTTCCAGGTCTGCAGAGAGTAAGAATATCACTTGTTCATGTGATTCACGATCCTTGGAACCTCCTATGTGCTACATCTTTGGATGGAAATAGGAGTCCCAGAGACAAATGAGGCTCCACCCTGCTTCCAGAAACTCAGAGTCCGGGGGTGAGAACCCAGTGGAGAACAGATGGGGTTATGTGGACATGGTAATGATAATGGAAGTCTTAGGCAAGAAAAGAGTCCCATTACCGAAACCATGAGGGCAGACATGTTTATTTGAAGGAGGGAAAACTACATTGAAATTATTTTAAAAAATATATAAGTTTTACTGCTGACAGAAGGCTGAAAGATACTCTGAGGGGAGGTGGAACAGCATGAGGGAAGGTGGAACAGGACGTGTCTAAGTGCCGTGTTAAGAGGGAGCCTCTTGTATGTTTGGAACTGTGAGTTCCTCAGTGTGATTGCAGCCTCAAGTAGACTAGGAAGTAAGCCAGTAAGGTTGGAGAGGTGGGCAGGGGTCAAGTGAAATGGAGAATTGTGGGCTAAGCAAAGGAGTGTGTTTTCTCTCCAGCAGGCAGTGGGGACCTTAGACATTTGTAAGCAAGAGAGAGGCACATTCAGATTTGTGGTGTGAGGAAGAGCGATGCCCTAAGATGCAGACTCACGCCTTCAGATTCCAGCTGCTGGTACATGGGAGCTGGCAACCCGGTTTTGAGACAGGGCTGTTGTCTCCCTAGAAGATCCCCTCAAGGCCTGACTGTGGTGCTCATGGGCAGGAGACAACTTTGGATCTGGACTCAGCATTTGGAAGTTCCGTGTACACTCTGGTATCTGTTGGGGGTGTCTTGGGCCTCTGAGAAGGGCGAGTGATTTTTCTCTGTGTGAAAACGCAGTGATCCAACTGTACGTATGTCACCTCCTGAGGGTCTTGTTCATCAGAGTCCTGGAGAGAGGGAAATCCTGAGTGAGGGAGGGTGCTCACGTTTTCCAGGACTGTTTGGGAATAACACTAGCCACGAGGCTGGGCCGAGGAGCACCTACCTCGCTATTCGCTGTTCTGTTCCCTGCAGGCTCTTGGTCCATTACAGCAGCATGTGTAGGAGACGGAAGTCAACAAAAGAGCTCGGAGGGCACTTCTGGGTCCTCATTTCATAAGCAGATACCAACAAACAGGGGGAGGCCATAGGTGCCTGAGGTCCCTCAGTTGCCAACAGCAGACTCAGACATTCTATCTCTCTGAGCTCAAGGACCCATCCCATGAATAGCTCTGAGTTCCCATCCCATTGATTCTGTCTCCCACTTTCTGCCTGTCATGGAACCTTCTCCTGGATGTGAGTGGCTGCAGGGGACATGAGGATACAGTTCAGAATCAGGCAACGGTCTGTGAGCTGAAAGCAGGGACAGGGAGTCTGGTGCCCTCTCTAGAAAGTCCTGCCTCTGTGGCTGCTGCCTTGGGCCAGGGACCATCCTACCTGTGAGGAACACACACCTGAGTGCTCCCATCCTGCTTCCCCACATGGCCCTGAGCTCTCTGGCCTCTCCTTCGTGAGACTTACTTTTCTTGTTGGAGCACCAGCGATGAAGGAGAAAGAAGAGGAGGAGGATGAAGAGGATGATGACCACTGAGGTCCCAATCAGAACGTGCAGGTGTCTTGGGTTACCTGGAAGAAGATGAGACACCAATAAGAAGCTAATCATAGCAGTTCCTCTTTATGAATTGTCTCGCATTTCTTGATTGACAGGTAACCACGTAAAACACCTCTTTAGGACAAGCACCCAGATGGCGGGAGACCCAGCTTTCTCCTGCTTTCTCAGTTATAGCTCTCAAAGTAACCATAGAATGTGCTGAGGACACAACTACTTTAGTTGAGATGTTTGACCCCTTCAAACCTCACATTGAAATTTCACCCCCATTGTGGGAGGTTGGGCCTCTTGAGAGGTGTTTGGGTCATGGAGGTGGATCCATCATGAACAGATCAATGCTGTCCCAAGGAGACGGGGTTAGCTAGTTCCCCCTCTATTAGTTCCTGGAGAGCTGGTTGTTCAAAAGAACTTGGAAGCTCCATCGCTCCCCCTCCCCCTTGCTCCCTCTCTTGCCGTGTGATCTCTGTGGTCTCTGCACAGACAGACCCTCCTTCCCTTCTGCCAGAGTGGGAGCAGCCTGAGGCCATCACGAGAAATAGATGCTGGTGCCATGCTTCCAGTACAGCCTGCAGAACGGTGAGGCAAACCAATCTCTTTTCTTTAGAAGTTGCCCAGGCTCAAGTGTTCCTTTAGAGCAACAAAAATGGACTAAGACAGCAACGTCCTGAGATCAGGAGGAACGTCCCAGAGCAGCCTGGGCTGTCTTCCTGTTCTTCCTGGAGGAGGACGTCATGCAGTGCTTTAGCTGAGTGCTTCCTGTGGCTCCAGGGTACAAAACCCAGGCTGGGCTGCTTTCTGGCTTCCCCCAGCTACACTGCAAATGGGGTGACTCCATATGTCCCGAGCAGCTTTTCTGAGCCTTGAGGGACTGGCTCACATTGAAATGTAGGCTTCTGTTTTCACTCGCTGCTTATCTGTTAGTAATGAACCTGCCTATGTAACGTATTCTCTGTGTGTTCTGTCTCCCTGGAGTGACGGTGAGTGATAGGAATTGGCGTAGGCCCAGGTGCAGTCTAGGAGGTGTTTAGGGTCTTTTCTGGGAAGACTGCACTGGGATTGACACACAGCGAATGTGCTTTAGGATTTCTACATCCACAGCATTCTTGAGTCAAACAACTTGCGTTCTCCAAGGAAAGGAAACAAAAGTGAAATCAAGATAAAAAAGCGAAATAGAGTTATCTTATGTCCAACAGCCAGGAAATCGTGTTGAAGCCCCTGTGAAACGTCCTACTCTTTGTGATCTCGGGAGACACATGTTAGGCTGCTGTTCTACCTGAGAGGCTGGGGGAAGGACCACCCCCTCCACCATCTATTGCTTCAATACCACCTGTCCTCCTGTGAATTAGTAGGAAAGGGGAGCAGGAGCTAGTGCTGGTGCTGATCTCTCATTCCAAGATCTGGACTCACTCCAAGGAGTATTAATGTTTACCTCCCCATGGTCTATCTGAATCTCCACAGGTGATTGGAAGTAGGGGTGAAGTGGGGGATTTGAGTGAGAGGGCAAGTTTTTTTTGTGATGAACAGAGCACTTTCTCTATTCCACGATCTGTGCTGGAGGATTCAGCAGGCTTTCACATTTTCTATATGGTCTCATGCTCACAGAAAGCCAAATACGGAAGAGGTTTTAGGCTCATTGCCTAATGGATAAGACAAAGGATCAAAGAAGTAATTATAGAGAAATACAAAAATGATGATTGGAATTCAGGTGCCTTTGTCATTCGTGTGTGTTTTATTATATTTATGCATTTCTTATTTTTATTTTTTGAGACGGAGTCTCCTTGTGTCACCCAGGCTGGAGTGCAGTGATGCAATCTCCACTCACTGCAACCTCCACCTCCTGGGTTGAAGTCGTTCTCCTGCTTCATCCTCAAGAGTAGGAGCTGGGATTACAGGGATGCACCACCATGCTCGGCTAATTTTTGTATTTTTCATAGAGACAGGGTTTCACCATTTTGGCCAGGCTGGTCTGGAACTCCTGACTTCAAGTGATCCACCCGCCTTGGCCTCCTGCAGTGCTGGGAATTGCCTTTTCCACGGCCTGAGCATGGGGCCGTGGCTGAATGAGTCAGTGAGTCGAAGTGTGCGTGCATGAGCTCCGTTCTCTGTTAAGGCAAAGCTCTTGCTCTGCTGAGTCAGCCAGGGTTGCTTCATGACCAACAGTAATTCATTCCTGGGCAAGTGGAACTTCTCTAAAACACCTCGCCCTCATCAAATGTTCCCTACCCTTCCCTCTCTCAAGCCCCCAGGAATTTATCCTCCAGTTAGGAATGCAGGCAGAACAAACATTGCATTTTTCCTGAGAAGGATGTCAGATTGCCAATCATTTTTCTAGCTTGTAGGAGATCTCAGCTCCATAAAATGAGAGATTAAGAGATTTCACAGAGCCCTGTTTTGGGTCCAGATCCCTTTCGCTGTTGGAGTATCTGGAGTTTGGAGATGGTAGAAGACAGGCGTACAATGTCAGAGCTGTGAGATGCTGAGTCAACGCCTGAATCCAAGGTTTCCACCTCCCCAGGTTTCCAAAAGCGGATATAAGAGGGTTCTGTACTCACCGGTTTTGGAGCTTGGTTCAGTGGGTGAAGGCCAACTATTTGAAGGGTTTCCTAGAACATGAGACAGGAGAGAGGTGAGGAAATGAGGGTGTCTGTCCTCTACTCAGTGGAAATCTTTGAGGTTGGTTCATGGCCAACACTCTGTTATCTAATATTGGGCCCTGGGAGTCCTGGGATCCTTTTTTCCGTAATTTTTGTATGTGACGGCTACTGTCTTGAGACTTCAAGGTATAAAGAGAAAACAGGAGCATCACACTACCTGATCTCAAAATATGTTACAGAGCTGTAGTAAGCAAGACAGCATGACGTTGGCATGAAGAAAGGCACATAGAACAACGGAGCAGAATGAATAACACAGATATAATCCATGCATTTACCTCCAATGTATTTTTTGTTTTTCTTTTGAGATGGAGTCTTGCTCTGTCACCCAGGCTGGAGTGCAGAGGTGCAATCTCGGTTCACTGCCACCACAGCCTCCTGGGTTCAATCACTTCTCTTGCCTCAAACTCCTGAGTAGTGGTATTACAGGTGCTGACCACCATGCTCAGCTAATTTTTATATTTTTAGTGGAGACGATGTTTCATCACGTTGGCCAGACTAATCTTGAACTCTTGGCCTCAGGTGATCCACCCACCTCGGGCTCCCAAAGTGCTGAAATTGCAGGTGTCAGCCACCATGCCCAGCCCATCCAATGGACTTTGACAAAGGTGCCAAGAACTCACAATCAGGAAAGGACAGTCTTTTCAATAAACAGTGCAGGGAAACCTGGACATCGACATGCAGAGGAATGAAACTGCACCTCTGCCTGTCACTATACACAAAAATCAAATGAAAATGGATTAAAGATGTGAGTCTAAGGCCTGAACCTATGAAACACGTAGAAGAAAATATTGGGGAAATGCTCCAGGACGTTTGTCTGAAGGAAGACATTTTGTTTTAAACCTTCAAAACACAAGTAATCGAAGCAAAAATAGACCATTGGGATTACCTCAAACTAAGCAACTTCTGCACCGCTAAAAATAAACCAACAAAGTGAAGAGACAACCCACAGATTGGGAGCAAATATGTGCAAACTATGCATCTGAGATGGGATTAATAACTAGAAATATAAGAAGCTCAAACAACTCAATAAAACAAATGATTTAATTGAAACAGGAGCAAAAGACATGAAATTTCCCCACATACGAAAAAGTGCTCAGTATCACTCATCATCAGAGAAACACAAATTAAAATCAAAGTGAGTTTTCATCTCACCCCATTAAAATGGCTTTTAGGCCGGGCGTGGTGGCTCACGTCTGTCATCCTAGAACTTTGAGAGCCTGAGGTGGGTGAATCTCATAAGGTCGGGAGTTTGAGACCAGTCTGACCCACATGGAGAAACACTGTCTCTACTAAAAATACAAAAATTAGTCGGGCGTGGTGGCGTGTGCCTGTAATTCCAGCTACTCGGGAGGCTGAGGCAGGAGAATCGCTTGAACCTGGGAGGTGGAGGTTGTGGTGAGCCGAGATCGCACCACTGCACTCAGCCTGGGTGACAAGAGCGAAACTCCATCTCAAAATAAAATGAAATAAAATAAAATGGCTTTTAGCTGCAAGACAGGCAAAAGAAATGCTGGCAAGGTGTTAGAGAAAGGAGAATCCTGGTATCCTGTTGGTAGGAGTGTAAATTAGTACAGCCATTACGGAGAAAAGTGTGGAAGTCCTTTAAAGAACTAAAAAGAGGTTGGGTGAGGTGGATCATGCCTGTAATCCCGGCACTTTGGGAGACCGAGGCGGGCACCTCAGTTGAGGTCATGAGTTTGAGAGCAGCCCAGCCAACATGGGGAAACCGCATCTATACTAAAAAAAACAAAAAGTAGCCAGGCATGGTGGCGTGCGCCTATAATCCCTGATACTAGGGAGGCTGAGGCAGGAAAATCATTTGAACCCAGGAGGCAGAGGTTGCAATGAGCCAAGATGACATCACTTGTACTCCAGCCTGGGCACAGAGGGAAACTGTCTCAAAAACAAAAACAAAACAACAAACGAAAAACTAAAAAGAGAACTTTCATAGTATCCAGCAATTTCACTACTGGGTTTATATCCAAAGGAAAGTAAATCAATATATCGAAGTGATATCTGCACTCGTATGATTGGTGCAGCACTCTTCACAGTAGCCAAGATGAGGAGTCAACCTACCTGCCCATCAGTGGGTGAATGGATAGAGAGAATGTGGTACATTTGCATAGTGGAGACTACTCTTCCATAGAAAGAAAAACATCCTGATATTTGCAGCCACATGGATGGAACTGGAGGTCATTACAAAGATTCCCATTTCTTACCCATATACAGGAGCTAAAAGGTGGATCTCATGAAGGTAGAGAGTAGAATGGTGGCTACCAGAGGCCAGGAAGAAAAGGGTGGAGGGTAAAAAAAAATATGTGTATATATATATATATTAATGTATTTATGACCACTAGACTTTACACTTAAAAATGGTAAATGTGGCTGGGCGTGGTGGCTCATGCCTGTAATCCCAGCACTTTGGGAGGCTGATGCGGGTGGATCACGTGGTCAGGAGTTCGAGACCAGCTTGACCAACATGGTGAAACCCCCTCTCTACTAAAAATACAAAAAGTAGCCTGGCATGGTGGTGCGCGCCTGTAGCACCAGCTACTCAGGTGGCTGAGGCAAGAGAATCGCTTGAACCCAGGAGGCGGAAGTTGCAGTGAGCTGAGATTGTGCCAATGCACTCCAGCATAGGGGACAGAGCTAGACTCCGCCTCAAAAAAAAAATGTTAAAGGTGGTAAGCTATATAGGTATATTTATCCTCAATAAATATTTCTCAAACAAAAGTAAAGGGTGTAGGGGTTGCAGGTGATGACATCCCTGTGTGGGTGGGAGGCCAGGATGGGCTTCTGGGAAATGGGTAATGTTGAGGGGCTGAGGGAACCTCTGATCTTCCCAAACTGAGCCCAGTCTCCCTCCTCTGGGTCTCTCCTGACCGCTTTCTCCATCTGCCTGGGTGCCTGGAGTCCTGGCCGCAGGCCTTCATGCAGGCCATGTAGGAGGGTTTGGAGGTGCCCTGTCTGCCATCCTGTGCCCTGATCCCTCCCTCACACCCAAGCTTCGTCTTCTCTCTGCATCTGTTCATCCTTCTCTCCATCCTCAGCAGGAAGCTCCTCAGCTAAGGCTCTAGGATCATAGGACATGGGACAGCCATGGGCTTTCCTCACCTGTGACAGAAACAAGCAGTGGGTCACTCGAGTTTGACCACTCGTAGGGAGAGTCACGGAAAGAGCCGAAGCATCTGTAGGTTCCTCCGTGGGTGGCAGGGCCCAGAGGAAAGTCAGCCTGGAATGTTCCGTTGACCTTGGGCCCTGCAGAGAACCTACGTTCATGGGCCTCCCCCTCCCTGGATAGATGGTACATGTCATAGGAGCTCCGGGAGCTGCAGGACAAGGTCACGCTCTCTCCTGCCAGAACCGTGGGGCCCGGCTGGGCTGAGAGAGAAGGTTTCTCATATAGACCTGGAAGGAGAAGAGGCATTTTCCTTACGGAGGATCTTCCTTGTCACAGCTCCCTTCACCTGAGCTGAGAACTCACTCCCCTGCTCTATGACCTAATGCTCTCTCTCTCTCTCTCTCTCACCCTCCACCCCATCTCTCTTCATGTCTATTTCCTCCTTCCACCTTCTCTGTCTCTCTAGGTCTCTGACCTCGCTTCCACACCTCTAGATATGTTTTCCCTTTTTGGATTGTTTTATTCTCTCTGACTCTCCTTGGATTGGTTGACTTGATGTTACTTTTTTAAATTCTAAGTTTCTCACTTTGTGTCCTGTTCATAACTTTCTGCATATTTCTATCTATTATCTATCGATCTATCTATTTATCTATTCGGTGCCTATCTACAAATTCTCTACCTGTCATCTATATCTATATATCATCTATGTATCTATCACTTGTCTATCTATCCATCAATCATCTGTTATCTATATCTATGTATCATCTCTCTCTCTATGACTTCTGTCTGCCTCTCTATCTCTATGTATTATCTATCTGTCTTCATCATCATCATCTCTATGTCTCATCTATTAATGAATCAATCAATCATCATCTATGTATCTTTAACCTATTATCTATCATCTACCTATTTATCATCTATCTATATCTATCCATCTATCATCTGTCTTGCTCTGCCTCTCGGTCTCTCTAGTTCTCTTTGGAATCTCTGCAATTCATCCCCACATCTCCATCTTTCTATGTCCTTGTGCCTCTCCCTCAGGAGTCTAATTTTAGTGCTTTTCTCTGCTCCCTTCCATCATTCTCACCACTCCTCTGCCCTCTTTTCTCTCTCTTTATGTGTCTGTGAGTCTCTCAATCTCCTTCCTCTGGCTCATTCTCTGTGTGTTTATGTCTTTGCTTTTTGGTGTCCCTGATTTCTCTCTGTGCCTCTCAGTGATCCTTTCATATGTGGGGTTATTTGGAATGTGAGCCTCAGAATCCAGTCTGGAGACCACAAGTTCACACAGCATACAGGAGTTGGTGTTCTGGGGCCATGATATCCTGGGACGGTTACTCTCCATTACATGGAAGGCAGAGGTGTCAGAATAAACACGGCATCTGTAGGTGCCACAAGGCCTGAGGCCACAGGGCCCAACTCAGGTCAGAAATATGGGTGTCCTTGGGTTCTCCTGGTAGAGAACACTTTGTGGAGGTAAAACAGAAATGAAACTTCTAACCTGTGCCAGGTCTCTGAGCAAAGTCAGCATGGAGGGACACCTCTCTCTGGGACATGTCTGTCTGTCTGTCTCCTTTAACTCCTTCTGTCTTTTCTAACTCCCGGTATGGCCCCTGTGTCTGTCCTCTGTTATGACACCTGGTCTGTACTTGTGTCTCCTGTTTCTCTGTCTCTGTTGGTACAGACCTCACCAAGTCAGTCTCTCTCCATAAGAATACCAAGCTCATCTTCCTTACAACTACCTGGGGGTTCCAAGTCGTGGATCATTCACTCTGCATCCCAATGACAATGAGAAGAATGTCCGGACACTCTCACCTGTGATGACGATGTCCAGAGGGTCACTGGGAGCTGACAACTGATGGGGGAGTGAGTAACAGAACCGTAGCATCTGTAGGTCCCTGCCAGGTCTTCCATCATGGGACCGATGGAGAAGTTGGCCTTGGAAACCCCATCATGGTGCTCTCCAGTGAGGTGCAAAGTGTCGTTAAACTTCCCTTCTCTGTGCAGAAGGAAGTGCTGAAACCTGACATCTGACCAACATTGCAGGATGACTGTCTCTTCTGATTTCACCAGGGGACCTGGGTGGGCCAGGAGGGAAGGTTTTCTGTGGACTCCTAGGAAGAGAGGTTGTGAGTTTAGAAGGTGTCTCTCTTTATCATCCCATCCATGGCACCTAGAATGAGTGAGGCTTCCCCTTGCTGGTGTCTGTCTCTCTCCTTCCTCTCTGTGTCTTCATGTTCTTTTCTGTGCCCATAACTCCTGGTGCAGGTCCTTCCATCTGTCTCCCTCCCTCTTCTCTGTCCCTCTGTCTCTAGTCCCCTCTGATTCCCTTCCCACTGGGCTTAGCCTCATCTCTTGGGGTGTTGTATCTATTTCACACTAATGTCTTTCCTGCTGTTTATGTGGGGGTGAAAGAGGAACCAGGATAGGCTGCACATCCAGCCTCTTATCAGCCTGGTTCAATCTCTTTTGGATGAATTGGAATCCTTGGCAGTAGGTATGAACTGATGAATAAGGCAGGCACCAGTGTCCACACACCCTGTTCCTGGTCGGGACTGGGAGCCACTCTTGCCATGCCTGTGCCTTCTCCATGGTGCCAGCTTCCATAGGCTGGCTCCTGGTGCTGGTTTGAGGAGTATCAACCCCTCCCTATGTGGATGGAGCCTGGTGGTGGCATCATCATCCCACACTTGCTCATCTCGGTGTAGCCAACCTTCCCCTTGTTTGGTTCCTTTAATTAATTAATTAATTATGGAGACAGAGTCTCACTCCTTCACCCCAGCTGGAGTGAAGTGGTGTGGTCTAGGGTCACTGCAACCTCTGTCTCCTGGGTTCAAGTGATTCTCCTGCCCTCAGCCTCCCAAGTCGCTAGGATTACATGCGCCTGCCACCACACCCGGCTATCCTTGTGTTGTTTCTTACCTTGTCCTTGACCTGGGTTCCAGTGTTGGTTTCCTGTTGCTGCTGTAGAAAATTATCAGAAGCATGGCAGCAGGAGAGAGCACACTGACCCATTTCACTACTGGAGACAGAAATAGGACCCTGTTTTTCCTGGGCTAAAATCAAGGCATCTGCAGGGCTTCGTTCCCTCTGGAGACTCTGGAGAATCATTTCCTTGACTTTTCCAACCTCTACAGGCCACCTGCATTCATGGCTCCTGGCCTTCCTCCACCTTCAAAGCTGGTGGAGTCTCCCATTGCGCTGCTCTAATCCCCACTCCCCTCTTCCTCCTCCTTTCATGTGGACCCTTGTGATTACACTGAGCCCAGCGGGACAGTCCAGGCTGTCTCCCCATCTCAAGGTCAACTCATCAACAACCTGAGCTCCATCTTCCCCTTCAGTTCCTTCCCCTATAACATAAATAGTCACAGACTCCAGGGATTAGAATGTAGTCATCACTGGGGACAATTATTCTTCCCACCACAGCACCCATTTCCCTGTATTCAATCCCCCTTTACCCCAAATATAGTCAGGGCCTGGGTGATGGGACCCTCAAGGACACGCCCACCAGAAGCTCTGGGATTCAGGAGGTGGGAAAGGAGAATCCAAGACAGGAGCCCTCTGACCTGTGGCCATGATCACCAGGGTGTTGCTGGGTGCCGACCACCCACTGGGGTAGTGTGGGTGTGAACCCCGACATCTGTACGTCCCTGTGTGTGCTGGGGTCACAGGGCCCATGAAAAGGCTCTTCCAGAATATTCTGTTGTAGAGCTCAGTGCCAGGCACCCCATCTTCCTTTTACAGACTGAAGTTGTTAAACCCAAGATAAGAATGACACCGAAGAATCACATGTCCTGGAGGCACCACAGAGCTGGGCCAGGCAGACAGCAAGGGCTTGTCCTGACCACCTTGGGGAGAAGGAGGCACCGCCTTAGAGAGGAGGATGTGGAGCCACCCCTCCCTCCCTGTGCTCTGAAGATTCTCCTCGCTTTCCAAGTTTCTATGGCTGCTATCACACCTTGGTGCCCAGGGCTAAAGGAAGGACCCATCCCGCAAACACAAGGTGTCTCCCTACAACAAAAGTGTCAGCTGAGAACTTTGAGCAAGTGCTGAGTAAGAGACTCCTACTAGATTTTAATACTGTAAGATTACTCACATAAAACAACACAGGGTAGACATGGGGTGGAGGGCATGTCTTTGAGAATGGAATATCAGCAGATGCCTGAATGAAAATAAGCAACTGAGCCCCCATCAGAGGATTTGGAATGTCAGGGCCATGGCTGTGGTTTCCCACCTCTTCTGGTGGAGTGACAGCAGCCACACTGCAGCCCCTACCGTCATGGAAACGCTGAAGTGTGAGTAACACCTTTGTCCTCAGAGGATCTGCTGTTCCTACCACTTCCCCACCACGCACCCCAGCTTTGAGCACCCCAGTCTAACCCTGGTCCCCACAGAACTTGACTCTGCCAAGGGAATGAAAGGCCAGGGAGGCGAGGTCGGAACTGTGGGCCGAGCACCCCAGGGTCCCCTCTTCCTAGTTTATGAGAGGCTCCCTGACAGGACTTCCCTCCTGTTTCAGGAAAATCCTCTTATGTGGGGAGATGACACCCTAAGGTTTGGAGAAGGACTCACCCTCATGTGGCCAGGCCCCCTGCAGCAAGAAGAACCCTGGAAAGAAAGATCATGATGGACGATCCATCTGCAGGCAAACCAGCCCTCCCTTGCTGCCCTCACTGGGCTGTGAGTCTTGGTAGGCAGGCCCTTCCTGGACTGAAGTTAAACTCACCCTCAGTGCCTACCTGCACCCAAGAACAGGGCTGTCGGCTGTGCAGAGACCCAGCCTCCAAGCCCAGATCCCCACCACAAGCCCATATCCCCACCACAAGCCCATATCTCCACTCCAGGCCAATATTTCCACCCTAGGCCTGTATCTCCACTCCAGGCCCATATCTCCACTCCAGGCCGATATTTCCATCATAGGCCCATATCGCCAATCCAGGCCCATATCGCCAATCCAGGCCAAGATCTCCACTGTAAGCCCATATCTCCAATCCAGGCCCATATCTCCACTCCAGGCTCAGATCTCCAACCTAGGCCCATATCTCCAATCCAGGCCCATATCTCCACACCAGGCCCATATCTCTACTGAAGGCCAGTAACTCCACCTCCAGGCCCATATCTCCACTCCAGGCCCAGATCTCCACCCCAAGCCCATATCTCCACCCCAGGCCCATATCTCTACTGAAGGCCCGTAACTCCACCTCCAGGCCCATATCTCCACCCCAGGCCCAGATCTCCACCCCAAGCCCATATCTCCACTCTAGGCCCATATCTCCTCTCCAGTCCCATATCTCCACAACCAGGCCCATATCTCCATCCTAGGCCCATATTTCCACTCTAGGCCCAGATATCCACCTCTAGGCCCATATCTCCACTCCTGGCCCAAATCTCCACTCCAGGCCCATATCTCTACTATAGGCCTATAACTCCACCTCCAGGCCCATATCTCCACTCCAGGCTCCTATCTCCCCTCCAGGTTCCTATCGGCACTCCAGGCCCAGATCTCCACTTCTAGGCCCATCACTCCATCTCTAGGCCCATATATCCACTCCAGGCCCAGATCTCCACTCCAGGCCCACAACTCCACCTCCAGGCCTATATCTCCACCTCTGGGCCCAGATCTCCAACCCCACACTCCCTTCCTCTATTCCCTTCCAGGACTCACCAACACACGCCATGCTGACGACCGTGAGCGACATGGTGCTGCCGGTGCAGACAGGCGGCCGTGCCCCAGCTCAGCTCAGCAGCGCACAGGATGTTATTTGGCGCCCTGCCCATGCAGTTTACATGTTGACCACATCATGGGAGGGTGACGTACGCAGGCTCATTCTACCTTGCATGAGGCCCAGTGGGTGCTCGCTCAAGAGCGGAACACGGCTTCCTGGAAATTGTTCTCACTAGAATTTACACCTAGCGTCCTTCACTATGACCAACTCAAAACACGTCTCAGATCCAACCTCCTGAACACGAGATGCCTAAAATCTGTGCTAACGTGAAAGACTTTTCATGTATTTTTATTGTTTTTATCTGAGATTCAAACTCTTCTTCATGTGTAATATGCAAAATATTTAATAGGTATTATTAAGGTTTTCAGAGTCATTGTGACTAATAAACCATTAGAATTTTTCATGCTTGTATTTCTAGTATTACAGCAGAACCAGTTAAAATGATTTAAATTCCCAGGGAAGGATTATGCAATTATTTACAATCTTAGAATTGTACTTTATCAGCAAAAACCACACCTGTAAATTCTGGAGTTTTGTAGTTTAATCTAAAATTTGTCTCATGACCCAAGATTCCAGAGTCCCAACTCTGGAGTTTGATCTCTCTCTGTCTCTCTGCCTCCCTCATTTTAAATTTTACAGAAATATCCAGTAACATAATGCTATAGAAAATCAAGTTTCCCCAGCACGTCGGGAAGCCGAGGTGGGCGGATCAACTGAGATGAGGGGATTGAGAGCAGCCTGGCCAACATAGTGAAACCGTGTCTCTGCTAAAAATCCAAAAATTAGCCATGCCTGGTGGCAGGCACCTGTAACGCCAGCTACTCAAGAGGCTGAGGCACGAGAATCGCTTGAACCTGGGAGGCGGAGGTTGCAGTGAGCTGAGATTGTGTCACTGCAGTCCAGCCTGGGCGACAGAGCAAGACTCCGCCTCAAGAAAAAAAAAAGCAAATAGCCTATAATAACAAATTAGAGGGCTCTGGCTACTAAATTTAAAGGGTTCTATAAGGCTACATAAAGTGTAGCATCATCAAGTGTGTGGACACAGACAGCCCCTTAGCAGAAACTGTCTAAAATACATCCATGTACACACAGTCCCTTTAGAGTTGACAAAGGCTGCCGTGTGGTTTAAGGTGGCATAGAATGTCTTCTCAATAAATAATATTAAACCAATGGGTTACACCTAGTAAAAAATAAATCTAACTCACACTATAAAAACACTTCTTAGTTTTTATCTAGTTGTACATTTTTTGATTTATATTTAAATTTGAGAAATAAAAGTCATATACGGTCATCCTTCACTATTCGTGGGTGATTGGTTTCGAGATCTCCACTCAGATACCAAAATCTGTAGATGCTCAAGCCTCTTATATGAAATGGCACAGCGCTTGCAAATAACATATGCACATCCTCCTGTATACATGAAATCATCTCTTGATTACTTATAATTCCTGATACAGCCTACACACAGCTTCATTTGTGTCCATTCAACATAGTTATGAGTTTTGGAACTCTGTGGATATTTTCTCTGAATATTTTTGATTTATACTTTGTTCAATAAAGACCTGTAAACCCCACAGATACGGAGGAGTGACCGTATATTTATAGTATGAAAGATGATGTGTTGATATGTGTCCCCATGGAGATGAGACTAACAAGGCCTATGACTCTACAAATGTTTCATCGTGGAATGACTCTGCCAGCTTTCCAGGTCTGCAGAGAGTAACAATGTCACTTGTTCATGTGATTCCCGATCCTTGGAACCTCCTATGTGCTGCATCTTTGGATGGAAATTGGAGTCCCAGAGACAAATGAGGCTCCACACTGCTTCCAGAAGCTCAGAGTCCAGAGGTGAGAACCCGGTGGAGAACAGATGGGATTATATGGACATGGTACTGATAACACCGGAAGCCTTAGGCAAGAAAAGAGTCCCATTACCTAAACCATGAGGGCAGACATGTTTATTTGAAGGAGGGAAAACTACATTGAAATTATTTTAAAAAATATATAAGTTTTACTGCTGACAGAAGGCTGAAAGCTAGTCTGAGGGGAGGTGGAACAGCATGAGGGAAGGTGGAACAGCACGTGTCTAAGTGCCGTGTTAAGAGGGAGCCTCTTGTATGTTTGGAATTGTGAGTTCCTCAGTGTGATTGCAGCCTCAAGTAGACTAGGAAGTAAGCCAGTTAGGTTGGAGAGGTGGGCAGGGGTCAAGTGAAATGGAGAATTGTGGGCTAAGCAAAGGAGTGTGTTTTCTCTCCAGCAGGCAGTGGGGACCTTAGACATTTGTAAGCAAGGGAGAGGCACGTTCAGATTTGTGGTGTGAGGAAGAGCGATGCCCTAAGATGCAGACTCACGCCTTCAGATTCCAGCTGCTGGTACATTGGAGCTGGCAACCCAGTTTTGAGACAGGGCTGTTGTCTCCCTAGAAGATCCCCTCAAGGCCTGACTGTGGTGCTCATGGGCAGGAGACAACTTTGGATCAGGGCTCAGCATTTGGAAGTTCCGTGTACACGATGATATCTGTTGGGGGTGTCTTGGGCCTCTGAGAAGGGCGAGTGATTTTTCTCTGTGTGAAAACGCAGTGATTCAACTGTGCATATGTCACCTCCTGAGGGTCTTGTTCATCAGAGTCCTGGAGAGAGGGAAATGCTGAGTGAGGGAGGGTGCTCACATTTTCCAGGACTCTTTGGGAATAACACTAGCCACGAGGCTGGGCCGAGGAGCACCTACCTCCCTGTTCACTGTTCTGTTCCCTGCAGGCTCTTGGTCCATTACAACAGCATCTGTAGAAGACGGAAGTCAACAAAACAGCTCAGAGGGCACTTCTGGGCCCTCATTTCATAAGCAGATACCAACATACAGGGGGAGACCATAGGAGCCTGAGGTCCCTCAGTTGCCAACAGCAGACTCAGACATTCTATCTCTCTGAGCTCAAGGACCCATCCCATGAATAGCTCTGAGTTCCCATCCCATTGATTCTGTCTCCCACTTTCTGCCTGTCATGGAACCTTCTCCTGGATGTGAGTGGCTGCAGGGGACATGAGGATACAGTTCAGAATCAGGCAATGGTCTGTGAGCTGAAGGCAGGGACAGGGAGTCTGGTGCTCTCTCTAGAAAGTCCTCCCTCTGTGGCTGCTGCCTTGGGCCAGGGACCATCCTGTCTGTGAGGAACACACACCTGAGTGCTCCCATCCTGCTTCCCCACATGGCCCTGAGCTCTCTGGCCTCTGCTTCGTGAGACTTACTTTTTTTGTTGCAGCACCAGCGATGAAGGAGAAAGAAGAGGAGGAGGATGAAGAGGATGATGACCACTGAGGTCCCAATCAGAACATGCAGGTGTCTGGGGTTACCTGGAAGAAGAGGAGACACCAATAAGAAGCTAATCATAGCAGTTCCTCTTTATGAATTGTCTCACATTTCTTGATTGACAGGTAACCACATACAACACCCCTTTAGGACAAGCACCCAGATGGAGGGAGACCCAGCTTTCTCCTGCTTTCTCAGTTATAGCTCTCATAGTAACCATAGAACGTGTTGAGGATACAACTACTTTAGTTGAGATGTTTGACCCCTTCAAACCTCACATTGAAATTTCACCCCCACTGTGGGAGGTTGGGCCTCTTGAGAGGTGTTTGGGTCATGGAGGTGGATCCATCATGAACAGACCAATGCTGTCCCAAGGAGACGGGGTTAGCAAGTTCCCCTTCTATTAGTTCCTGGAGAGCTGGTTGTTCAAAAGAGCTTGGAAGCTCCATCGCTCCCCCTCCCCCTTGCTCCCTCTCTTGCCGTGTGATCTCTGTGGTCTCTGCACAGACAGACCCTCCTTCCCTTCTGCCAGAGTGGGAGCAGCCTGAGGCCGTCACGAGAAATAGATGCTGGTGCCACGCTTCCAGTACAGCCTGCAGAACTGTGAGGCAAACCAATCTCTTTTCTCTAGAAGTTACCCAGGCTCAAGTGTTCCTTTAGAGCAACAAAAATGGACTAAGACAGCAACGTCCTGAGATCAGGAGGAACGTCTCAGAACAGCCTGGGCTGTCTTCCTGTTCTTCCTGGAGGAGGACGTCATGCAGTGCTTTAGCTGAGTGCTTCCTGTGGCTCCACAGTACAAAACCCAGGCTGGGCTGCTCTCTGGCTTCCCCCAGCTACACTGCAAATGGGGTGACTCCATATGTCCCGAGTAGCTTTTCTGAGCCTTGAGGGACTGGCTCACATTGAAATGTAGGTTTCTGTTGTCACTCGCTGCTTATCTGTTAGTAATGAACCTGCCTGTGTAATGTATTCTCTGTGTGTTCTGTCTCCCTGGAGTGACGGTGAGTGATAGGAATTGGCATAAGCCCAGGTGCAGTCCAGGAGGTATTTAGAGTCTTCTCTGGGAAGACTGCACTGGGATTGATACACAGCGAATGTGCTTTAGGATTTCTACATCCACAGCATTCTTGAATCAAACAACTTGCATTCTCCAAGAAAAGGAAACAAAAGTGAAATCAAGATAAAAAAAGCTAAGTAGAATTCTCTTATGTCAAATGGCCAGGAAATAGTGTTGAAGCCCGTGTGAAACGTGCTACTCTTTGTGATCTCGGGAGACACATGTTAGGCTGCTGTTCTACCCGAGAGGCTGGGGGAAGGACCACCCCCTCGGCCATCTATTGCTTCAATACCACCTGTCCTCCTGTGAATTAGTAGGAAAGGGGAGCAGGAGCTAGTGCTGGCACTGATCTCTGATTCCAAGATCTGGACTCACTCCAAGGAGTATCAATGTTTACCTCCCCATAGCCTATCTGAATCTCCACAGGTGATTGGAAGTAGGGGTGAGGTGGGGGATTTGGGTGAGTGGGCAAGTTTTTTGTTGCGATGAACAGAGCACTTTCTCTATTCCACGATCTGTGCTGGAGGATTCTGAGGGCTTTCACATTTTCTATGTGATCTCATTCTCACAGAAAGCCAAATAGGGAAGAGGTTTTAAGCTCATTGCCTAATGGATAAGATAAAGGATCAAAGAAGTAATTATAGAGAAATAGAAAAACGATGATTGGAATTCAGGTGCCTTTGTCATTCGTGTGTGTTTTATTATATTTATGTATTTCTTATTTTTATTTTTTGAGATAGAGTCTCCTTGTGTCCCCCAGGCTGGAGTGCAGTGATGCAATCTCCACTCACTGCAACCTCCACCTACTGGGTTGAAGTCATTCTCCTGCTTCATCCTCCAGAATAGGAGCTGGGATTACAGGGATGCACCATCGTGCTCGGCTAATTTTTGTATTTTTAGTAGAGATAGGGTTTCACCACGTTGGCCAGGCTGGTCTGGAACTCCTGACTTCATGGAATCCACCCACCTTGGCCTCCTGCAGTGCTAGGTTACAGGCGTGAGCCACTGTTCACAGACTTGTATATTATGCTATAATAAGTCTCTTCATTTCCACCACCACTCATATATCTGTCACTCCTTTGCCAGGTATTGATTTATGTGTAGGATGAATAAATCTCAGAAAGAAATTAATTAAGCGAGGATTAAACAAGTAGGAAAATCAAACCCAGTAAGCGTTTCCAGTCAATGATTCTACCTCACAAACATATCTTATATCCATCTACTTCATTCATTTAGTGTCTAAATCAGCACCACATTTCACCAGTGGGGTGGCAATTGCCTTTTCCACGGTCTCCTAGATTCCAGTTATGCAACTGAGCCTCCCTTATTTTCATGTCAGTCATATTAATCATGTAGGGATTCCTGGTTACCCCGAGGTGAATCCAATGGCTGTGAGTGTCAAACACACACTCCTTGTTGCTCCTTAGTTTCCTGTGTACCCAGTGTGCTCTCCGTCTCTCTACAGTCGTCTTGTCATTCTCCCCACATCATTCCCAGCATTTGAGGCAGAGCCTCTTCCTTCCACATCAGATTGTTTTCACCTTTGTGCCTTCACGGCTGACAGCTGTGTGTGCAAAATCCTTCCGCCAATCTTTCAGGGGTTCAATCCGTGTTTTTCATTAATGTCACAAATATCTGAATAGTGAGACCTTCTTTGTCACCTGAAATCATACACTCAGCATTATCTATTATTGATTTTGAATTCTGGCTGGGCACAGTGGCTCACGCCTGTAGTCCCATTACTTTGGCATGCTGAGACGGTCGGATCACTTGAGGTTGGGAGTTTCAGACAAGCTTGGCCAACGTGGTGAAACATCCTCTCTACAAAAAATATACAAAAAGAATTAGCCGGGCACGGTGGCAGTTGCCTGTAATCCCAGCTACTCGAGAGGCGGAGGCAGGAGAATCACTTGAATCCAGGAGACGCAGGTTGCAGTGAGCCAAGATCGTGACACTGCACTGTAGCCTGGAAGACAGAGGGCGACTCTGTCTCAATAAACAAAAGAACAAACAAAAAATAGATTTCATGCACAGATGCTTCCCAATGGATCATTCATTTATAGATCCACTTGTGCATTCATTTTCTGCCCTCCCATTTAACCATCTGCAATATCAGTGTCCCAAGGGCAGAAGCCAAATGCATCTTGTTCACCGTTTGTGGAAGGCAGGAGAATGCTGTCCCACCCCAAAATGTCCCTGTCCTAGCCTCCATAGCTTGTGAATATGTTATTTTACATGGAAAGGAGGAATGAAGATTGTAGATGGAATTGCGGTTGCTAATCAGCTGAACTTAAAACAAGGGTATCCTGGATGATTTCCAGGAGATTATGAGGGATTTTCATCTTGGTGAACCCAATAGAATCCCCAAGTTTTCAAAAGATAAGGAAGAAGGGAGAGCAGCATTCAGAGAAAGAGGTGTGGTAAGGAAGAAGGCACTGAGTGATGCCATGTGAGATGTGACCAGTCTTTGTGGGCTTTGAGGAAGGAGGAAGGGGAACAGGAGCCAAGGAACTGGGAGCCTTTAGAAGCTGGGATAAGTGAGAAGCAGATTCTTGCCTGGAATCCTCAGAGGGAAGGCAGCCTTGCTGTCACCTTGATTTTAGCCCAGTAAGATGCACTTCCTACTTTGAGCTACAGCACTGTAAGATAATTAAAAAACCGTTTTGTTTTCACCCACGAATCTTGTGGAAATTTGTTATGGCAACAATAGGAAAAGGTTCCGCACTGCACAGCCTGAGCATGGGGCCGTGGCTGAATGAGTCAGTGAGTCGAAGTGTGCGTGCATGAGCTCCGTTCTCTGTTACGGCAAGGCTGTTGCTCTGCTGAGTCAGCCAGGGTTGCTTCATGACCAACAGTAATTCATTCCTTGGCAAGTGGAACTTCTCTAAAACACCTCGCCCTCATCAGATGTTCCCTTCCCTTCCCTCTCTCAAGCCCCCAGGAATTTATCCTCCAGTTAGGAATGCAGGCAGAACAAACATTGCATTTTTCCTGAGAAGGATGTCAGATTGGCAATCATTCTTCTAGCTTGTAGGAGGTCTCAGCTCCATAAAATGAGAGATTAAGAGATTTCACTGAGCCCTAGGTTGGGCCCAGATCCCTTTCGCTGTTGGAGTATCTGGAGTTCGGAGATGGTAGAAGACAGGCGTACAATGTCAGAGCTGCGAGATGCTGAGTCAATGCCTGCATCGAAGGTTTCTACCTCCCCAGGTTTCCAAAAGCGGATATAAGAGGGTTCTGTACTCACCGGTTTCGGAGCTTGGTTCAGTGGGTGAAGGCCAACTATTTGAAGGGTTTCCTAGAACACGAGACAGGAGAGAGGTGAGGAAATGAGGGTGTCTGTCCTCTACTCAATGGAAATCTTTGAGGTTGGTTCATGGCCAACACTCTGTTATCTAATATTGGGCCCTGGGAGTCCTGGGATCCTTTTTTCCGTAATTTTTGTATGTGACGCCCACTGTCTTGAGACTTCAAGGTATAAAGAGAAAACAGGAGCATCACACTACCTGATCTCAAAATATGTTACAGAGCTGTAGTAAGCAAAACAGCATCACATTGGCATAAAGAAAGGCACGTAGAACAATGGAGCAGAATGAAGAACACAGATATAATCCATGCATTTACCTCCAATGTTTTTTTCTTTTTTCTTTTGAGATGGAGTCTCGCTCTGTCACCCAGGCTGGAGTGCAGAGGTGCAATCTCGGTTCACTGCCACCACAGCCTCCTGGGTTCAATCAATTCTCTGGCCTCAAACTCCTGAGTAGTGGTATTACAGGTGCTGACCACCATGCTCAGCTAATTTTTATATTTTTAGTGGAGACAATGTTTCATCACGTCGGCCAGACTAATCTTGAACTCCTGGCCTCAGGTGATCCACCCGCCTTGGGCTCCCAAAGTGCTGAAATTGCAGGTGTCAGCCACCATGCCCAGCCCATCCAATGGACTTTGACAAAGGTGCCAAGAACTCACAATCAGGAAAGGACAGTCTTTTCAATAAACAGTGCAGGGAAACCTGGACATCTACATGCAGAGGAATGAAACTGCACCTCTACCTGTCACTATACACAAAACTCAAATGAAAATGGATTAAAGATGTGAGTCTAAGGCCTGAACCTATGAAACACGTAGAAGAAAATATTGGGGAAATGCTCCAGGACATTTGTCTGAAGGAAGACATTTTGTTTTAAACCTTCAAAACACAAGTAATCGAAGCAAAAATAGACCATTGGGATTACCTCAAACTAAGCAACTTCTGCACCGCTAAAAATAAACCAACAAAGTGAAGAGACAACCCACAGATTGGGAGCAAATATGTGCAAACTATGCATCTGAGATGGGATTAATAACTAGAAATATAAGAAGCTCAAACAACTCAATAAAACAAACGATTTAATTGAAAAAGGAGCAAAACACATGAAATTTCCCCACATACTAAAAAGTGCTCAGTTTCACTCATCATCAGAGAAACACAAATTAAAATCAAAGTGAGTTTTCATCTCACCCCATTAAAATGGATTTTAGGCCGGGCGTGGTGGCTCACGTCTGTCATCCTAGACCTTTGAGAGCCTGAGGTGGGTGAACCTCATAAGGTCGGGAGTTTGAGACCAGTCTGACCCACATGAAGAAACACTGTCTCTACTAAAAATACAAAATTTAGTTGGGCGTGGTGGCGTGTGCCTGTAATTCCAGCTACTCGGGAGGCTGAGGCAGGAGAATCGCTTGAACCTGGGAGGTGGAGGTTGTGGTGAGCCGAGATCGCACCACTGCACTCCAGCCTGGGTGACAAGAGCGAAACTCCATCTCAAAATAAAATGAAATAAAATAAAATGGCTTTTAGCTGCAAGACAGGCAAAGGAAATCCTGCCAAAGTGGTAGAGAAAGGAGAACCCTAATACCCTGTTGGTAGGAGTGTAAATTAGTACAGCCTTTACGGAGAAAAGTGTGGAAGTCCTTTAAAGAACTAAAAAGAGGTTGGGTGAGGTGGATCATGCCTGTAATCCCGGCACTTTGGGAGACCGAGGCGGGCACCTCAGTTGAGGTCATGAGTTTGAGAGCAGCCCAGCCAACATGGGGAAACCCCATCTATACTAAAAAAAACAAAAAGTAGCCAGGCATGGTGGCGTGCACCTGTAATCCCAGCTACTAGGGAGGCTGAGGCAGGAAAATCATTTGAACCCAGGAGGCGGAGGTTGCAATGAGCCAAGATGACTTCACTTGTACTCCAGCCTGGGCACAGAGGGAAACTGTCTCAAAAACAAAAACAAAACAACAAACGAATAACTAAAAAGAGAACTTTCATAGTATCCAGCAATTTCACTACTGGGTTTATATCCAAAGGAAAGTAAATCAATATATCGAAGTGATATCTGCACTCGTATGATTGGTGCAGCACTGTTCACAGTAGCCAAGATGTGGAGTCAACCTACCTGCCCATCAGTGGATGAATGGATAGAGAGAATGTAGTACATACGCACAGTGGAGACTACTCATCCATAGAAAGAATAACATCCTGATATTTGCAGCCACATGGATGGAACTGGAAGTCATTACAAAGATTCCCATTTCTCACCCATATACAGAGCTAAAAGGTGGATCTCATGAAGGTAGAGAGTAGAATGGTGGCTTCCAGAGGCCAGGAATAAAAGGGTGGAGGGTAAAAAAAAAAAAAAAAAAAAATATATATATATATATATATATATATATGTTTATATATGTGTGTGTGTGTGTATATATATATATATATATATATATATAAATGTATTTATGACCACTAGACTTTACACTTAAAAATGGTAAATGTGGCTGGGCGTGGTGGCTCATGCCTGTAATCCCAGCACTTTGGGAGGCAGATGCGGGTGGATCACGTGGTCAGGAGTTGGAGACCAGCTCGACCAACATGGTGAAACCCCCTCTCTACTAAAAATACAAAAAGTAGCCTGGCGTGGTGGTGCGCGCCTGTAGCACCAGCTACTCAGGTGGCTGAAGCAGGAGAATCACTTGAACCCAGGAGGCGGAAGTTGCAGTGAGCTGAGATTGTGCCACTGCACTCCAGCATAGGGGACAGAGCTAGACTCTGCCTCAAAAAAAAAAAAAATGTTAAAGGTGGTAAGCTATATAGGTATATTTATCCTCAATAAATATTTCTTCAAACAAAAGTAAAGGGTGTAGGGGTTGCTGGTGATGACATCCCTGTGTGGGTGAGAGGCCAGGATGGGCTTCTGGGAAATGGGTAATGTTGAGGGGCTGAGGGAACCTCTGATCTTCCCAAACTGAGCCCAGTCTCTCTCCTCTGGGTCTCTCCTGACCGTTTTCTCCATCTGCCTGTGTGCCTGGAGCCCTGGCCGCGGGCCTTCATGCAGGCCGTGTAGGAGGGTTTGGAGGTGCCCTGTCTGCCATCCTGTGCCCTGATCCCTCCCTCACACCCAAGCTTCGTCTTCTCTCTGCATCTGTCCATGCTTCTCTCCATCATCAGCAGGAAGCTCCTCAGCTAAGGCTCTAGGATCATAGGACATGAGACAGATATGGGGTTTCCTCACCTGTGACAGAAACAAGCAGTGGGTCACTCGAGTTTGACCACTCGTATGGAGAGTCACGGAAAGAGCCGAAGCATCTGTAGGTTCCTCCGTGGGTGGCAGGGCCCAGAGGAAAGTCGGCCTGGAATGTTCCGTTGACCTTGGGCCCTGCAGAGAACCTACGTTCATGGGCCTCCCCCTCCCTGGATAGATGGTACATGTCATAGGAGCTCCGGGAGCTGCAGGACAAGGTCACGCTCTCTCCTGCCAGAACCGTGGGGCCCGGCTGGGCTGAGAGAGAAGGTTTCTCATATAGACCTGGAGGAGAAGAGGCATTTTCCTTACGGAGGATCTTCCTTGTCACAGCTCCCTTCACCTGAGCTGAGAACTCACTCCCCTGCTCTATGACCTAATGCTCTCTCTCTCTCTCTCTCTCACCCTCCACCCCATCTCTCTTCATGTCTATTTCCTTCTTCCACCTTCTCTGTCTCTCTAGGTCTCTGACCTCGCTTCCCCACCTCTAGATATGTTTTCCCTTTTTGGATTCTTTTATTCTCTCTGACTCTCCTTGGATTGGTTGACTTGATGTTACTTTTTTAAATTCTAAGTTTCTCACGTTGTGTCCTGTTCATAACTTTCTGCATATTTCTATCTATTATCTGTCGATCTATCTATTTATCTATTCGGTGCCTATCTACAAATTCTCTACCTGTCATCTATATCTATATATCATCTATGTATCTATCACTTGTCTATCTATCCATCAATCATCTGTTATTTATATGTATGTATCATCTCTCTCTCTATGATTTCTGTCTGCCTCTCTATCTGTACGTATTATCTGTCTTCATCATCATCATCTCTATGTATTATCTATTAATGAATCAATCAATCATCATCTATGTATCTTTAACCTATTATCTATCATCTACCTATTTATCATCTATCTATATCTATCCATCTATCATCTGTCTTGCTCTGCCTCTCGGTCTCTCTAGTTCTCTTTGGAATCTCTGCAATTCATCCCCACATCTCCATGTTTCTATGTCCTTGTGCCTCTCTCTCAGGACTCTAATTTTAGTGCTTTTCTCTGCTCCCTGCCATCATTCTCACCACTCCTCTGCCCTCTTTTCTCTCTCTTTATGTGTCTGTGAGTCTCTCAATCTCCTTCCTCTGGCTCATTCTCTGTGTGTTTATGTCTTTGCTTTTTGGTGTTCCTGATTTTTCTCTGTGCCTCTCAGTGATCCTTTCATATGTGGGGTTATTTGGAATGTGAGCCACAGAATCCAGTCTGGAGACCACAAGTTCACACAGCATACAGGGGTTGGTGTTCTGGGGCCATGATATCCTGGGACGATTACTCTCCATTACATGGAAGGCAGAGGTGTCAGAATAAACATGGCCTGTAGGTGCCACAAGGCCTGAGGCCACAGGGCCCAACTCAGGTCATAAATATGGGTGTCCTTGGGTTCTCCTGGTAGAGAACACTTTGTGGAGGTAAAACAGAAATGAAACTTCTAACCTGTGCCAGGTCTGTGAGCAAAGTCAGCATGGAGGGACACCTCTCTCTGGGACATGTCTGTCTGTCTGTCTCTTTTAACTCTTTCTGTCTTTTCTAACTCCCTGTATGGCCCCTGTGTCTGTCCTCTGTTATGACACCTGGTCTGTACTTGTGTCTCCTGTTTCTCTGTCTCTGTTGGTACAAACCTCAGCAAGTCAGTCTCTCTCCATAAGAATACCAAGCTCATCTTCCTTACAACTACCTGGGGGTTCCAAGTCGTGGATCATTCACTCTGCATCCCAATGACAATGAGAATGTCCGGACACTCTCACCTGTGATGACGATGTCCAGAGGGTCACTGGGAGCTGACAACTGATAGGGGGAGTGAGTAACAGAACCGTAGCATCTGTAGGTCCCTGCAAGGTCTTGCATCATGGGACCGATGGAGAAGTTGGCCTTGGAGACCCCATCATGGTGCTCTCCAATGAGGTGCAAAGTGTCCTTAAACTTCCCTTCTCTGTGCAGAAGGAAGTGCTGAAACCTGACATCTGACCAACATTGCAGGATGACTGTCTCTTCTGATTTCACCAGGGGACCTGGGTGGGCCAGGAGGGAAGGTTTTCTGTGGACTCCTAGGAAGAGAGGTTGTGAGTTTAGAAGGTGTCTCTCTTTATCATCCCATCCATGGCACCTAGAATGAGTGAGGCTTCCCCTTGCTGGTGTCTGTCTCTCTCCTTCCTCTCTGTGTCTTCATGTTCTTTTCTGTGCCCTTAACTCCTGGTGCAGGTCCTTCCATCTGTCTCCCTCCCTCTTCTCTGTCCCTCTGTCTCTAGTAGCCTCTGATTCCCTTCCCACTGGGCTGAGCCTCATCTCTTGGGGTGTTGTATCTATTTCACACTAATGTATTTCCTGCTGTTTATGTGGGGGTGAAAGAGGAACCAGGATAGGCTGCACATCCAGGCTCTTATCAGCCTGGTTCAATCTCTTTTGGATGAATTGCAATCCTTGGCAGAAGGTATGAACTGATGAATAAGGCAGGCACCAGTGTCCACACACCCTGTTCCTGGTGGGGACTGGGAGCCACTCTTGCCATGCCTGTGCCTTCTCCATGGTGCCAGCTTCCATAGGCTGGCTCCTGGTGCTGGTTGGAGGAGTATCAACCCCTCCCTATGTGGATGGAGCCTGGTGGTGGCATCATCATCCCACCCTTGCTGATCTCAGGGTAGCCAACCTTCTCCTTGTTTGGTTTCTTTAATTAATTAATTAATTATGGAGACAGAGTCTCACTCCTTCACCCAGGCTGGAGTGAAGTGGTGTGGTCTAGGCTCACTGCAACCTCTGTCTCCTGGGTTCAAGTGATTCTCCTGCCCTCAGCCTCCTGAGTCGCTAGGATTACATGCACCTGCCACCATGCCTGGCTTTCCTTGGGTTGTTTCTTAACTTGTCCTTGACCTGGGTTCCAGTGTTGGTTTCCTGTTGCTGCTGTAGAAAATTATCAGAAGCATGGCAGCAGGAGAGACCACACTGACACCTTCCAGTACTGGAGACAGAAATTGGACCCTATTTTTCCTGGGCTAAAATCAAGGCATCTGCAGGGCTTTGTTCCCTCTGGAGACTCTGGAGAATCAGTTCCTTGACTTTTCCAGCCTCTATAGGCCACCTGCATTCATGGATCTTGGCCTTCCTCCACCTTCAAAGCTGGTGAAGACTTCCACTGGACTGCTCTAATCCCCACTCCCCTCTTCCTCCTCCTTTCATGTGCACCCTTGTGATTACACTGAGCCCAGTGGGACAGTCCAGGCTGTCTCCCCATGAGCTCCATCTTCCCCTTCAGTCCCTTCCCCTATAACATAAATAGTCACAGACTCCAGGGATTAGAATGTAGTCATCACTGGGGACAATTATTCTTCCCACCACAGCACCCATTTCCCTGTATTCAATCCCCCTTTACCACAAATACAGTCAGGGCCTGCGTGATGGGACCCTCAAGGACATGCCCAACAGAAGCTCTGGGATTCAGGAGGTGGGACAAGGAGAATCCAAGACAGGAGCCCTCTGACCTATGACCACGATCACCAGGGGGTTGCTGGGTGCTGACCACCCACTGGGGGAGTGTGTGTGTGAACCCCGACATCTGTATGTCCCTGTGTGTGCGGGGGTCACAGGGCCCATGAAAAGGCTGTTCCAGAATATTCTGTTGTAGAGCTCAGGGACAGGCACCCCACCTTCCTTTTACAGACTGAAGTTGTTAAACCCAAGATAAGAGTGACACCGAAGAATGACATGTCCTAGAGGCACCACAAGGCTGGGCCAGGCAGACAGCAAGGGCTTGTCCTGACCACCTTGGGGAGAAGGAGGCGCCGCCTTAGAGAGGAGGATGTGGAACTGCCCTTCCCTCCCTGTGCTCAGAAGATTCTCCTCGCTTTCCACGTTTCTATGGCTACTATCACACCTTGGTGCCCAGGGCTGAAGGAAGGACCCATCCCGCAAAGACATGGTGTCTCCCTACAACAAAAGCCTCAGCTGAGAACTTTGAGCAAGTGCTGAGTAAAGAGACTCCTACTAGATTTTAATACTGTAAGATTACTCACATAAAACAACACAGGGTAGACATGAGGTGGAGGGCATGTCCTTTGTGAATGGATATCAGCGGATGCCTGAACGAAAATAAACAACTGAGCCCCCATCAGAGGATTTGGAATGTCAGGGCCATGGCTGTGGTTTCCCACCTCTTCTGGTAGAATGACAGCAGCCACACTGCAGCCCCTACCATCATGGAAACGCTGAAGTGTGTGAGTAACACCTTTGTCCTCAGAGGATCTGCTGTTCCTACCACTTCCCAACCACACACCCCAGCTTTGAGCACCCCAGTCTAACCCTGGTCCCCACAGAACTTGACTCTGCCAAGGGGTTGAGAGGCCAGGGAGGCGAGGTCAGAAATGTGGGCTGAGCACCCCAGGGTCCTCTCTTCCTAGTTTATGAGAGACTCCCCGACAGGACTTCCCTCCTGTTTCAGGAAAATCCTCTTATGTGGGGAGATGACACCCGAAGGTTTGGAGAAGGACTCACCCTCATGTGGCCAGGCCCCCTGCAGCAAGAAGAACCCTGGAAAGAAAGATCATGATGGACCATCCATCTGCAGGCAAACCAGGCCTCCCTTGCTGCCCCCACTGGGCTGTGAGTCTTGGCAGCCAGGCCCTTCCTGGGCTGAAGTTAAACTCACCCTCAGTGCCTACCTGCACCCAAGAACAGGGCTGTCGGCTGTGCAGAGACCCAGTTTCCAGGCCCATATCCCCACCCCAAGCCCATATCTCCACTCCAGGCTGATATTTCCACCCTAGGCCCATATCGCCAATCCAGGCTCAGATCTCCACCCTAGGCCCCTATCTCCAATCCAGTCCCATATCTCCGCCCCAGGCCCAGATCTCCACCCTAAGCCCATATCTCCACTCCAGGCCCATATCACCTCTCCAGTCCCATATCTCCACACCCAGGCCCATATCTCCTTCCTAGGCCCATATCTCCACTCCAGGCCCAGATATCCACCTCTAGGCCCATAACTCCACTCCTGGCCCATATCTCCACTCCAGGCCCATATCTCTACTGCAGGCCCGTATCTCCACCTCCAGACCCATATCTCCACTCCAGGCCCATATCTCCACCTCCAGGCCCATATCTCCACCTCCAGGCCCATATCTCCACTCCAGGCCCATATCTCCACTCCAGGCCCATATCTCCACTCCAGGCCCCTATCTCTACTGCAGGCCCATATCTCCATCTCCAGGCCCATATCTCCATCTCCAGGCCCATGTCTCCACTACAAGCCCATATCTCTACTGCAGGCCCATATCTCAACCTCCAGGCCCATATCTCCACTCCAGGCCCAGATCTCCACTCCAGGCCCAGATCTCCACTTCTAGGCCCATCACTCCATCTCTAGGCCCATAACTCCACTTCCAGGCCTATATCTCCAACTCTGGGCCCCGATCTCCATCCCCGCACTCCCTCCCTCGATGCCCTTCCAGGACTCACCAACACACACCATGCTGACGACCATGAGCGACATGGTGCTGTCTGTGCAGACAGGCGGCCGCGCCCCAGCTCAGCTCAGCAGCGCACAGGATGTTATTTGGCGCCCTGCCCATGCAGTTTACATGTTGACCACATCATGGGAGGGTGACGTACGCAGGCTCTTTCTACCTTGCATGAGGCCCAGTGGGTGCTCGCTCAAGAGCGGAACATGGCTTCCTGGAAATTGTTCTCACTAGAATTGACACCTTGCGTCCTTCACTACGACCAGACTCAAAAGACGTCTCAGATCCAACCTCTCATACACGAGATGATTGAATTCTGTGCTTACATTAAAGATTTTTGATGTATTTTTGTTTTTATCTGAGATTCAAACTCTTCTTCATATGTAATGTGCAAAATGTCTAACAGGTATTATTAACATTATCAGAGTAATTGTGACAAGAAGCCATTCTAATTTTCCTGCTTGAGTTTCTACTACTAAACCAGAGGCATCAGAATAGCTTGAACCTGGGAGACGGAGGTTGCAGTGAGCTGAGCTCAAGCCACTGAACTCCAGCTTGGGTGACAGAGGAAGAGTCTGTCTCAAGAAAAAAAAAAAAAGCAAACTAAATAACCTATAATAACAAATCAGAGGACTCAGGTTACCAAATTTTAAGGGGTTCTATAAGTTTATATAAAATGCAGCATCCTCATGAGAGGGGATACAGAGAACCACTGGACAGAAAACTGTGTCTAAAATACATCTGTGGATACACAGTCCCTTTATAGTTGACAAAGGCTGCCATGTAGTTTAAGGTGGAATAGAATATTTTCTCAACAAATAACACAGGACCATAGGGTTACACGTAGGAAAAAATAAATCTAAACTTATCCTCACACTATAAAAACACTTCTTATTTTTTATCTTGTTGTTGTAAATTTTTTATGCTTTATTTTTAAGATTGACAAATAAAAATTATATACCATGGTCCTTCACTATACCTGGGTGATTGGTTCCAGGATCCCCATTCAGATACCAAAATCTGCAGATGCTCAAGCCCCTTGCATGAAATGGCATAGTGAAGCTGGGCACCGTGGCTCACGCCTGTAATCCCAGCACTTTGGGAGGCTGAGCTGGGTAGATCACAAGGTCAGGAGTTCAAGACCAGCTGGTCCAACATTCTGAAACCCCATCTCTACTAAAAATATACACACAAAAAAATTTATCTGTGCATGGTGGCACGTGCCTGTAATCCTAGGGGAGGCTACTGGGGAGGCTGAGGGAAGAGAATCGCTTGAACCTGGAAGGCGGAGGTTGCAGTGAGTTGAGATCACGCCACTGCACTCCAGCCTGGGTGAGAGAGTGAGACTGTCTCAAAAAAAAAAAAAAAATAGCATAGCAATTGCATAGAACCCATGCACATCCTCCTGTATACATGAAATCATCTCTTGATTACTTATAATTCCTGACACAGCCTACACGCCACTCAATTTGTGTCGATTCAACATAGTTTTTTGCTTTTTGAAACTTCGGGGATTTTTTTTCTCAAAATATTTTTGATTTATTGCTGATTCAATAAACATGTGTAAACCCCAGAGATATGGAGGAGTGACTGTCTATTTATAGTAGTATGAAAGATGATGTGTTGATACGTGTCCCTGTGGAGATGAGACTAACAAGGCCTATGACTCTACAAATGTTTCATCGTGGAATGACTCTGCCAGCTTTCCAGATCTGCAGAGAGTAAGAATATCACTTGTTCATCTGATTCACCATCCTTGGAACCTCCTATGTGCTGCATCTTTGGATGGAAATTGGAGTCTCAGAGACAATTCAGGCTCCACCATGCTTCCAGAAGCTCAGAGTCCAGGGCTGAGAACCCAGCGGAGAACAGATGGGGTTATGTGGACGTGGTAATGATAACACCGGAAGCCTTAGGCAAGAAAAGAGTCCCATTGAAGAAACCATGAGGGCAGACATGTTTACTTGAAGAATAGAAAACTACATTGAAATTATAAAAAAAATTTATAAGTTTTACTGCTGACAGAAGGCTGAAAGATACTCTGAGGAAAGGTGGAATAGCACGTATCTAAGTGCCGTGTTAAGAGGGAGCCTCTTATATGTTTGGAATTGTGAGTTCCTCAGTGTGATCGCAGCCTCAAGTAGACTAGGAAGTAAGCCAGTTAGGTTGGAGAGGTGGGCAGGGGTCAAGTGAAATGGAGAATTGTGGGCTAAGCAAGTGTGTTTTCTCTCCAGCAGGCAGTGGGGACCTTAGACATTTGTAAGCAAGAGAGAGGCATGTTCAGATTCGTGGTGTGAGGAAGAGCGATGCCCTAAGATGCAGACTCACGCCTTCAGAGTCCAGCTGCTGGTACATGGGAGCTGGCAACCCGGTTTTGAGACAGGGCTATTGTCTCCCTAGAAGATCCCATCAAGGCCTGACTGTGGTGCTAGTGGACAGAAGACAACTTTGGATCTGCGCTCAGCATTTGGAAGTTCCGTGTTACACGCTGGTATCTGTTGGGGGTGTCTTGGGCCTCTGAGAAGGGCGAGTGATTTTTCTCTGTGTGAAAACGCAGTGATTCAACTGTGCGTATGTCACCTCCTGAGGGTCTTGTTCATCAGAGTCCTGGAGGGAGGGAAATGCTGAGTGAGGGAGGGTGCTCACATTTTCCAGGACTCTTTGGGAATAAGACTAGCCACGAGGCTGGGCGGAGGAGCACCTACCTCCCTGTTCACTGTTCTGTTCCCTGCAGGCTCTTGGTCCATTACAACAGCATCTGTAGAAGACGGAAGTCGTCAAAACAGCTCGGAGGGCACTTCTGGGTCCTCATTTCAT
Source organism: Homo sapiens (assembly GCF_000001405.40). NCBI lineage: Eukaryota > Metazoa > Chordata > Mammalia > Primates > Hominidae > Homo > Homo sapiens. Next base: position 133,640 of record NT_187639.1, read on the forward strand.
AAGCAGATACCAACATACAGGGGGAGGCCATAGGTGCCTGAGGTCCCTCAGTTGCCAACAGCAGACTCAGACATTCTATCTCTCTGAGCTCAAGGATCCATCCCATGTATAGCTCTGAGTTCCCATCCTATTGATTCTGTGTCCCACTTTCTGCCTGTCATGGAACCTTCTCCTGGATGTGAGTGGCTGCAGGGGATGTGAGGATACGGTTCAGAATCAGGCAATGGTCTGTGAGCTGAAGGCAGAGGCAGGGAGTCTGGTGCTCTCTCTAGAAAGTCCTGCCTCTGTGGCTCCTGCCTTGGGCCAGGGACCATCCAGTCTGTGAGGAACACACACCTGAGTGCTCCCATCCTGCTTCCCCACATGGCCCTGAGCTCTCTGGCTTCTGCTTCGTGAGACTTACTCTTTTTGTTGGCACACCAGCGATGAAGGAGAAAGAAGAGGAGGATAGCAAAGGGGATGATGACCACTGAGGTCCCAATCAGAACGTGCAGGTTTCTGGAGTTACCTGGAGGAAGACAAGACACCAATAAGAAGCTAATCATAGCAGTTCCTCTATATGAATTGTCTCACATTTCTTGATTGACAGGTAACCACATACAACGTCTCTTTAGGACAAGCACCCAGATGGCGGGAGACCTAGCTTCCTCCTGCTTTCTCAGTTGTAGTAACCATAGAACGTGCTGAGGATACAACTGCTTTAGTTTAGATGTTTGACCCCTTCAAACCTCACATTGAAATGTAACCCCCAGAGTGGGAGGTTGGGCCTCTTGGGAGTTGTTTGGGTCATGGAGGTGGATCCATCATGAACAGATCAATGCTGTTCCAAGGAGACGGGGTTAGCAAGTTCCCCCTCTATTAGTTCCTGGAGAACTGGTTGTTAAAAGAGCTTGGAAGCTCCATCGCTCCCCCTCCCCCTTGGTCCCTCTCTTGCCGTGTGATCTCTGTGGTCTCTGCACAGACAGACCCTCCTTCCCTTCTGCCAGAGTGGGAGCAGCCTGAGGCCGTCACAAGAAATAGATGCTGGTGCCATGCTTCCAGTACAGCCTGCAGAACTGTGAGGCAAACACATTTCTTGTCTTTAGAAGTTACCCAGGCTCAAGTGTTCCTTTAGAGCAACAAAAATGGACTAAGACAGCAACGTCCTGAGATCAGGAGGAACATCCCAGAACAGCCTGGGCTGTCTTCCTGTTCTTCCTGGAGGAGGACGTCATGCAGTGCTTTAGCTGAGTGCTTCCTGTGGCTCCAGGGTACAAAACCCAGGCTGGGCTGCTTTTTGATTTCCCCCAGATACACTGCATATGGGGTGACTCCACATGTCTCGAGCAGCTTTTCTGAGCCTTGAGGGACTGGCTCACATTGAAATGTAGGTTTCTGTTGTCACTCGCTGCTTATCTGTTAGTAATGAACCTGCCTGTGTAATGTGTTCTCTGTGTGTTCTGTCTCCCTGGAGTGACGGTGAGTGATAGGAATTGGTATAGGCCCAGGTGCATTCCAGGAGGTGTTTAGAATCTTCTCTGGGAAGACTGGATTGGGATTGATACACAGCGAATGTGCTTTACAGTTTCTACCACCACAACCCTCTTGACTCAAAAAAATTACATTCTCCAAGAAAAGAAAGAAAAAATGAAATCAAGATAAAAAAAGTGAAGTAGAACTGACTTAAATCAAACAGCCATGAAATAATGATGTAGCCCAGGAACAACATGCTACTTTTTGTGATCTGCTGAGACATATATTAGGCTGCTATTCCACCCGAGAAGCACGGGGAAGGACCGCCCTCTCCGTCGTTTATTGTTTCAATACAGCCTGTCCTTCTGTGAGTTAGTACGAAATGTGACCAGGGGCTAGTGCTGGCACTGGTCTCTGAGTCCAAGATCTGAGCTCACTCCAAAGAGTATTAGTGTTTACCTCCCCATGATCTATCTGTATCTCCATAGGTGATTGGAAGTAGAGATGAATTGGGGGATTTGGGTGAAGTGGCAAGTTTTATGCCATGAACAGAGCACGTTCTCTATTCCAGGACCTGTGCTGGTGGGTTCAGGAGGCTTTCACATTTTCCATATGATCCCAAGCTCACAGAAAGCCAAATAAGGAAGAGGTTTAACCTGATTGTTTAATGGATAAGATAAAGGGTCAAAGAATTAAACACAGAGAAATAGAAAAATGATGGTTGGTATCCAGTTGCCTTTGTAATTTCTGTGTGTCATAATTATGTATGTTTTATTTTTATTTTTTGAGACAGAGTCCCCCTGTGTCAGGCTGGAGTGCAGTGATGCGATCTCAGTTCAACCTCTGCCTCCAGGGTTGAAGCCATTCTTCTGCTTCAGCCTCCCCAGTCGCTGGGATTACAGGCAGGTGCCAATGCACCAGGCTAATTTTTGTATTTTTAGTACAGACGGGGTTTCACCATGTTGGCCAGGCTGGTCTCAAACTCCTACCCTTAAGTGATCTACCCGCCTTGGCCTCCCAAAGTGTTGGGTTACAGGTGTGAGCCCCCATCCACAGTCTTGTATATTATATTATACTAGGTCCCTTCATTTGCACCACCCCTCATGTGTCTATCACTCCTCTGCCAGGTATTGATTTAGATGTAGAAAAAAAACACATCTCAGAAAGAAATTAATGAAACAAGGATTAAACTACTAGGAAAAATCAAACCCAGCAAGCCCTCCCTGCAAATGATTCTACCTCACAAGCATAGCTTATATCCATCTTTCATTCATTTAGTGTGTAAATCAACCCTACGTTTCACCAGTGGGGCGGGAATTGCCTTTTCCACCGTCTCCTAGATTCCAGTTACGCACCTGGGCCTCCCTTATTTTCATGTCGGTCACTATTAATCAGGTAGGGATTCCTAGTTAGCTCTGAGTTGAATCCAATGGCTGTGAGTATCAAACACACGCTCCTTGTTCCTCCTTAGTTTCCTGTGTACCCAGTGTGCTCTCCATCTCTCTACAGTTGTCTTGTCATTCTCCCCACTTCATTCCCAGCATTTGAGGCAGAGCCTCTTCCTTGAACTAAGAATGTTTCCACCTTTGTGCCTTCACGGCTGAGAGCTCAGTGTGGAAAATCCTTCCGCCAATCTTCCAAGGGTTGAATCCATTTTTTCCATTAAGGTCACAAATATTATCTGATCAGTGAGACCTTCTCTGTCACCTGAAATTATATACTCAGCATTATCTATTACTTATTTTAAATCCTGGCTGGGCGCAGTAGCTCTCGCCTGTAATCTTTGCACTTAGGGACGCTAAGGCGGTGGGATCACTTGAGATTGGGAGTTTGAGACAGCCTGCACAACATGGTGAAACCTCATTTCTACTAAAAAATATACCAAAAAAATTAGCCGAGTGTGGTGGCGCACAGCTGTAATCCCAGCTACTCGGTAGGCTGAGGCAGGAGAATTGCATGAACCCAGGAGGCAGAGGTTGCAATGAGCTGAGATTGTGCTACTGCACTCCAGCCTGTGGAACAAAGAGAGACTCTACTCAAAAAAAAAAAGAAAACAAAAAAAACACACACACAAAAAAAACCCCAGATTTGGTGCACAGATGCTTCCCAATGGATCATTCATTTATTGGTACCCTTGTGCATTCATTCTCTGCCCTCGCATTTACCCATCTGCAATATCAGTGTCCCAAGAGCAGAGGCCAAATGCATCCTGTTTACCATTTGTGGAAGGCAGGAGAATGCTGCCCCACCCCCAAAATGTCCCTGTCTTAGCCTCCATAGCTTGTGAATATGTTATTTTACAGGAAAGGAGGAATGAAGATTGCAGATGGCATTACGGTTGCTAATCAGCTGAACTTAAAAAGAGGGTACGCTGGATGATTTTAGGGAGATTGAGATGGATTATCTTGGTGACCCCAATAGAATCCCAAAGTCCTTAAAAGATGAGGAAGAAGGCAGAGCAGGATTCAGAGAAAAAGGTGTGGGTAAAGAAGAAGAGTCTGAATGATGCCATGTGAGACGTGACCAGCCTTTGTGGGCTTTGAGGAAGGAGGAAGGAGGAAGGGGACCAGGGGCCCAGGAACGTGGGAGCCTCTAGGAGCTGGGAAACGTTAAGGAGCAGATTCTTGCTTGGAACCTTAAAAAGAAATCCAGCCTTACTCTCCCTTTGATATCAGCCCAGTGAAATGCAGTTCATACTTCTGAGTTACAGCACTGTGAGATAATTAAGAAAAACATGTTTTCATCCACGAAGCTTGTGGAAATTTGTTATGGCAACAATAGGAAAAGATTCCACACTGCACAGCCAGAGCATGGGGCATTGGCTGAACGAGTGAGTGAGTGGAAGTGTCGTGTGCATAAATAAGCTAAATTCTCTCTTACTGCACGTCTCTTGCTCTGCTGAGTCAACCAGGGTTGCATCTGGTACACTGCTGATACGAATGTAAATTAGTACAGCCATTACAGAGGAGAAGAGTATGGAAGTTCCTCAAAAAATAAAATGAGGTCGGGCACAGTGGTTCATGCCTGTAATCCCAGCACATTGGGAGGCCGAGGTGGGTAGGTCACTTGAGGTCAGGAGTTGAAGAGCAGCCTGGCCAATATAGCGAAACTCTGTCTCTACTAAAAATATAAAAATTAGCCGAGTGTGGTGGTGGGAGCCAGTAACCCAGCTACTTGGGAGGCTGAGGCTGGGGAATCTCTTGAATCCTGGAGGTGGAGGTTGCAGTGAGCCCAGATGGCACCACTGCACTCCAGCCTGGGCAACAAGAGTGAAACTGTCTAAAAAAAACAAAAACAAAAACAAAAACCATAAAACAAAATGTAAAAAGACACTTCCAGAGGATCTAGCAATTCCATGACTGGGTGTAAACCCAAAGGAAAGGACATCAGCGTATCGAAGTGACATCTGCACTCCCATGACTGTTCCAGCAGTGTTCACAGTAGCCAAGATGTGGATCAACCTACCTGCCCATCAGTGGGTGAATGGATGGAGAGAATGTGGTACACACACACAATAGGGACAACTCATCCATAGAAAGAGTAACATCCTGTCATTTACAGCCACATGAATGGAACTGGAGGTCATTACAAGTATTTCCATTTCTCACTCATATGCAGGAGCTAAAAGGTGGATCTCACAAAGGTAGAGAGTAGAATGGTGGCTACCAGAGGCCAGGAAGGGAAGGGTGGAGGGTAAAAAAAAAAGAATACTAATTAATTAATTAATTAATTTTGAGAGAGTGTCTCTCTCTGTTGCCCAGGCTGCAGTGCAGTGGCATGATCTCAGCTCACTGCAACCTCCGCCTCCTGCAATTAAGTGCAACTCCTGCCCAACCCTCCCAAGTAGCTGGGACTACAGGCATGTGCCACCATGCTCGGCTAATTATTATCATTATTATTATTATTTTGTATTTTTAGTACAGATGGATTTTCCCCATGTTGGCCAGGGTGGTCTTGAGCCCCTGATCTCAAATGATCCACCTGCCTTGGCCTCTCAAAGTGTTGGGATTACAACAGTGAGCCACCGTGCCCAGCCTATAAATGTATTTATGAACAGTAGACTTCACACTTAAAAATGGTAAAGGTGGTAAATTACATAGGTATATTTCACCTCAATAAATATTTCTTCAAACAAAAAGAAAAGGGTGTAGGCGTTGCTGGTGATGACATCTCTCTGTGGGTGACAGGCCAGGATGGGCTTCTGGGAAGTGGGTAAGGTTGAGGGGCTGAGAGAACCTCTGATCTCCCCAGGCAGAGCCCAGTCTCCCTCCTCTGGGTCTGTTCTGACCTCTTTCTCCATCTGCCTGGGTGCCTGGAACCCTGATCAAGGGCCTCCTTGCAGGCCATACAGGAGGGTTTGGAGGTGCCCTGTCTGCCATCCTGCCCCCTGACCCCGCCCTTACACCCATGCTGTGTGTTCTGTCTCGGCATCTGTCCATGCTTCTCTCCATCATCAGCAGGAAGCTCCTCAGCTATGGCTCTAGGATCACAAGACATGGGACAGGCATGGTGTTTTCTCACCTGTGACAGAAACGGGCAGTGGGTCACTCGGGTCTGACCACGCGTGGGGCAGGGCACGGAAAGAGCCGAAGCATCTGTAGTTCCCTCCGTGGGTCACAGGGCCCAGAGGGAAGTTGGCCTGGAATGTTCCATTGACCCTCAGCACCGCAGTGAGCCTAAGTTCACCGGCCTCTGCCTCCCTGGATAGATGGTAAATGTCAAACAAGCTCCGGGAGCTGCAGGACAAGGTCACATTCTCTCCTGCCTGAACCGTGGGGCCCGGCTGGGCTGAGAGAGAAGGTTTCCCATATAGACCTGGAAGGAGAAGAGGTGGTTTCCTCAGGGAGGTTCTTCGTTGTCACAGCTCTCCTCACACCTGAGCTGAGAACTCACTCCCCTGCTCTATGACTTAATGCTCTCTTTCTCTCTCTCACCCTCCACCCCCATCTCTCTTCATGTCTATTTCCTCCTTCCACCTTCTCTGTCTCTCTAGGTCTCTGACCTCACTTCTCCATCCCTAGCTATGTTTTCTTTTTTTGTACCATTTTATTCTCTCTGACCCTCCTTGGACTGGTTGACTTGATCTTCCTCTTTCTTTAATTCTGAGTCTCTCACTTTCTGTCTTGCTCATAACTTTCTGCATATTTCTATCTACTATCTATTGATCGATCTATCATTTATCTATGTATGTATCTATCATCTATCATCATCTGTGTATCTATGACCTATCTCTCTGTTATCTATCATCTATCAATCAATGTATGTATGTATGCATCTATCCATCTATCATCATGTGTTTATCTGTCTTTCTATCTCTCTATATCTATTTATATATCATCTGTCTGTCTTTCTACTTGTCTATCTATATCATCTATCAGTCATTCATCATCTATTTGTCTATCACCTGTCTCTCTATTATCTATCATCTACCTTTTATCTTTCATCTATCTGTATCTATCTATCCATCTATCATCTGTCTCTCTCCATCTCCTTGTCTTTCTCTGCCTCTCAGTCTCTCTAGTTCCCTTTTGGAGTCTCTGCAATCCATCCCCACATCTTTATCTTTCCCTGTCTTTGTGCCCCTCCCTCAGGGCTCTGATTTTAGGGCTTTTCTCTGCTTCCTTCCATCATACGCTCCACTTCTCTGCCCTCTTTTTCTATCTCTTTATGTGTCTGTGAGTCTCTCAATTCCCTTCTTCTGGCTCATTCTGTGTGTGTGTTCATGTCTTTGCTTTTTGATTTCCCTGATTTCACTCCGTGTCTCTCTGTGGGCTTTTGTTCTCAGTAATCCTATAACATGTGGTGCTATTTGAATATGAGCCTCAGAATCCAGTATGGGGACTCCAGGAACTCACAACATACAGGGGTTGGTGTTCTGCTCCCTCACCTGGGGCCATGGTGTCCTGCGACGACGACAGCTCCACTGCACGGAAGGCAGAGGTTTAAGAATAAACACAGCATCTGTAGGTGCCACCAGCCTGGGGCCACACGGCCCAACTCAGGCCAGATAGATGTGTCTCTTTGGGTTCTCCTGGGAGAGAACACTTTGTAGAGGTAAAACAGAATGGAACCTTCTAACCTGTGCCTGGTCTCTGAACAAAGTCAGCATAGAAGGACACCTCTCTCTGGGATATATCTGTCTCTCTGTGTCTTCTTTACCTCTTTATCTCTTTTTCTAACACCTTGTATGGCCCCTGTGTCTGGCTTCTATGTTATGACATGAGGTCTGTACTTGTGTCTCCTGTTTCTCTGCCTTTGTTGGTACAGACCTCACCAAGTCACTTTCTCTCCATAGGAACCCCACACTCATCTTCCTCATGACCACCTGGGGCTTCCAGTCCTAGATCATTCACTCCATCTCCCAGCAAGGGTGAGAGGCAGGTCTGTATTCTCTCACCTACGACCACGATGTCCAGAGGGTCACTGGGAGCCGACAACTCATAGGGTAAGTGAGTGACAGAACCAAAGCATCTGTAGGTCCCTGCAAGGGCAGGTGTCATGGGACCCATGGAATAGTTGACCTGGGAACCCGCATCGTGGAGCTGTCCAATGAGGCGCAAGGGGTCCTCAGTGATCCCCTCTCTGTGCAGAAGGAAGCGCTCAAACCTGACATCTGACCAACATTGCAGGATGACCGTCTCTCCCGATTTCACCAGGGGACCTGGGTGGGCCAGGAGGGAAGGTTTTCTGTGGACTCCTAAGAAGAGAGGTTGTGAGTTCAGAAGGCGTCTCCCTTTCTCATCCCATTCATGGGACCTGAAATAAGTGAGGCTTCCCCTCCATGGTGTCTATCTCTCTCCTTCCTCTCTGTGTCTCCGTGTTCTTTTGTGCCCATAACCCCTGTTGCAGGTCCCTCCATCTGTCTCCCTCCCTCTTCCCTGTCTCTCTGTCTCTAGTAGCCCTGATTCCCTTCCCACTGTGCTCAGTGTCACCTCTTATGCTGTTGTATCTGTTTCCCACTAATCTCTTTCCTGGTGTTTATGTGGGGGTGGAAGAGGAACCACGACAGGCTGCATGTCCAGGCTCTTAGCAGCCTGAATCAATCTCTTTTGGACAGATTGGAAAGGCTGGCAGGAGGTACGAACTCATCAGTAAGGCAGGCATCAGTGTCCCTGTTCCTGATGGGGATTGGGAGCCTCTCCTGTCATGTCTGTGCCTTCTCCATGGCCCCAGCTTCCATAGGGTGGCCCCTGGTGCTGGTTCCAGGAGCATCAACCCCTCCCTATGTGGATCGAGCCTGGTGGTAGCATCAGTATCCCACCCATGCTAAAATCAGTGTAGCCAAACTTCTCCTTGTTTGGTTTCTTAACCTGTGCTTCACCTGGGTTCCTGTGTTGGTTTCCTGTTGCTGCTGGAGAAAATTGTCACAAACATGGGGCAGGAGAGAATACAATGACCCCTTCCACTTCTGGAGAACAGAAATCGGACCCAGTTCTCTCTGGGCTAAAATCAAGGCATCTGCAGGGCTGTGTTTCCTCTGGAGACTCAGGGAAGAATCAGTTCCCTTGACTTCTCCAGCCCTTAGAGGCCACCTGCCTTTGTGGCTCATGGCCTTCCCCCATCTTCAAAGCCTGCTGTGGCTGATGGAGTCTCCCTCCCACGACGTTGCTCTAACCCCACTTTCCTCTTCCTCCTCCTCTCATGAGGACCCTTGTGATTACTCTGAGCACAGCAGGACAGTCCAGGCTGTCTCCCCATCGCAAGGTCAACTCATCAACAACCTGAGCTCCATCTTCCTCTTCAGTCCCCTGCCCTAAAACATAAATAGTCACAGGGTTCATGGATTACCATGTAGCCATCACTGGGGACAATTATTCTTCCCACCACAGCAACTATTTCTCTGTACTGAATCCCCCTTTACCCCAAATACAGTCGGGGCCTGGATGATTGGACCCTGATGGACGCCCCCACCAGAAGCTCTGGGATTCAGGAGGTGGGACAGTGAGAAGCCCAGACAGAAAGCCTCTGACCTGTGACCATGATCACCACAGGGTTGCTGGGTGCCGACCACCCAGTGGGGGAGTGTGGGTGTGAACTGCAACATCTGTAGGTCCCTGCATGTGCTGGGGTCACAGGGCCCATGAGAAAGCTGTTCCAGAATATTCTGTTGTAGAGCTCAGGGACAGGCATCCCGTCTTCTTTGGACAGACTGAATTCATTAAACCCAAGACGAGAGCGACACTGAAGAGTCACATGTTGTCCTTCAGACACCACAGTGCCGGGCCAGGCAGAGAGGAAGGGCTTGTCCTGACCACCTGGGGGAGAAGGAGGCACCACCTTAGAGAGGAGGATGTGGAGCCGCCCCTCCCTCCCTGTGCTCAGAAGATTCTCCCATTTCCATGTTTCTAAGGCTCCTACCACACCTGGGTGCCCAGGGCTACAGGAAGGACCCATCCCGCATAGACATGGCGTCTCCCTACAGCAAGTGTCAGCTGAGAACTTTGAGCAGGTGCTGAAGAAGCGACTCTTACTAGATTTTAACACTGCAAAATTACTTACATAAAAGAACACAAGGTAGACACAGGATGGAGGGCATGATCAGCTAATGCATGAACCATAATAAACAACTGAGCCCCTATTAGAAGATCTGGAATGTCAGGGTCATGACTGTGGTTCCCCCACCTCTTAGGTAGAATGACAGCAGCCACATTGCAGCCCCTACCGTCATGGAAACGCTGGAGGGTGTGAGTTATGCTCTTGTCCTCAGAGGCCTGTTGTTCCTTGCACTGCTTCTCTCCCTTCCTCTGCCGGTGACACCACTTCCTCCCTGCACACCACTCCTTTGAGCACTTCAGTCTCCCCCTGGGTCCCCACAGACTCAGCCAAGGGAAAGAAAGGCCGGGGAGGGCTAGGACAGAACTGTGGCGAAGCTTCCCCTGGCTTCCTTTTCCTAGTTCATGAGAGATTCCCACATGGCTTCCCATGGTCAGCCCATCAGTCAACCCCCTGTGTCGCCTGCCTCCCGTTTCAGGAGCATCATCTTATGTGGGGAGATGACAACCTAAGGTTTGGGGGAAGGACTCACCCACATGTGGCCAGGGCCCCTCCAGCAAGAAGAACCCTGGAAAGAAAGATCATGATGGATGATCCATCTGTACATCACCTCCAGGCCCATATCTCCACTCCAGGCCCATATCTCCACCTCTAGGCCCATATCTCCACTCCAGGCCTATATCTCCACCTCCGTCCTATATCTCTACTCCAGGCCCATATCTCCACTCCAGGCCTATATCTCCACCTCCGTCCTATATCTCTACTCCAGGCCCATATCTACACTCCAGGCCCATATCTCCACCTCCAGGCCTGTATCTCCACCTCCAGGCCCGTGTCTCCATTCCAGGCCCATATCTGCACTCCAAGCCAACATCTCCACTCCAGGCCCGTATCTCTACTCCAGGCCCATATCTACAGTTCCAGGCCCATATCTCCACCTCCAGGCCCATATCTCCACTCTAGGCCCATATCTCCACCTCCAGGCCCGTATCTCAATTCCAGGTCCATATCTGCACTCCAAGCCAATATCTCCACTCCAGGCCCATATCTACAGTTCCAGGCCCATATCTCTACTCCAGGCCCATATCTCTACTTCAGGCCCATATCTACAGTTCCAGGCCCATATCTCCACTCCAGGCCCATATCTCCACCCCAGGCCCATATCTCCACTCCAGGCCTATATCTCCACTCCAGGCCCATATCTCCACTCCAGGCCCAGATCTCCACTCCAGGCCCAGATCTCCACCCCAGCGCTCCCTCCCTCGATTCCCTTCCAGGACTCACCAACACACGCCATGCTGACGACCATGAGCGACATGGTGCTGCCGGTGCAGACAGGCGGCTGCGCCCCAGCTCAGTTCAGCAGCACACAGGATGTTGTGAGGGGCTCATGCAGTTTACATGCTGACCACATCATGGGAGGATGACGTATGCAGGCTATTTCTACCTTGCATGAGGCCCAGTGGCTGTTTGGTCAAGAGCGGAACATGGCTTCCTGGAAATTGTTCCAACTAGAATTGACACCTTGCATCCTTCACTATAACCAACTCAAAACACGTCTCAGATCCAATCTCTCATACAGGAGATGACTGAATGCTTGGCTTACATTAAAGACTTTTGATGTATTTTTGTTGTTTTTATCTGAGATTCAAACTCTTCTTCATGTGCTATTTTCCCCAGGCTGTTCTTTGACTTCAGAGTTCAAGCAATCCTCCTGCCCCAGCATTTCTAGCAGCTGGCAGTATGTCACAATCTGCCACACCCAAGTCACAACTTTTAGAACTTTTTTTTTTTTTGAGACGCAATCTCACTTCGTCACCCAGTTTGGAATGCAGTGGTGAGACCTCGGCTCATTGCAGCCTCCACCTCCCAGGTTCACGCAATTCTCGTGCCTCAGCCTCCTAAGTAGCTGGATTTACAGGCACCCACCATCACGCCCACCTAATTTTTGTACTTTTAGTAGAGAGGAGGTTTCTCCATGTTGGCCAGGCTGGTCTTGAACTCCTAACCTCAAGTGATCTGTCTACTTCAGCCTCCCAAAGTGCTGAGATTACAGGTGTGAGCCACCATGCCTGGCCGGGACATTCTATATGTGTGCGTATGTGTGCATTTATATACATATGGTTATACACACACACACACACACACACACACCCTAAGCACTCACATATATAGTTGTTTCAAATTTTAAAAAATATAAATTTTGTATTTTTCTTTCTTTTTCTCACATTTGTGTTTCTATGACACCATATACATATTGAATTTTATAGCTCTATTTTATTCTTTTGGATTGCAGTTTAATAGTCCATACATAACTTTATCAACATGTAATTATCCACTCTTTTTATCATGGACATTTGTGTTGTTTCCGGATTTTCTCTTTTATAACTCGGGCCTTGATAATCGTGTTTCTGTGTGATCCCTTGCATACATATGCTGAATTAATTAGACATATTTACCTAGGAATGAAATTATTGGTTTTGGGTGCAAGTTGGTGTTGAGCTTAACCAGGAAGTGCCAAAATATTTCCATCATGACCAAATGTGGCCTGGAAAGTTTTTTGGGGTCAATTTTCCTGTTTCTTCTAAGGAACAAAATTGATGTCACTGATTTTTCTGTCCTGTTTGTCATTTATGAATATACGTACATATGCACGTATATATTTGCTTGCCATTTTATGTTTTTCCTCGACGTTACTTTGGAATTAATTTGCTGATGTGTAGTATTTCTGCAAGCGAAAGTTACCTATTTACTCAGCTCTTCCTTCTTTTCTAACACAGACATTTGAGGCTTATTTTCCTTTAACACTGTTCTATCTGTATCCCCAGTCATTTGCCGAGATGTGTTTTCATTTTTAATTGATACAAAATATTTTCCACCTTTCTTTGAAATGTTTTTCTTCCACTCATTGTTTATTGCTATGTGTGTTTATTAATTTTAAAATATTTGATAATTTCCCCAGCATTTCCTTGTTGTACATTTATAATTTAATTCAACTGTTTCATCTATCATATTACCTATGATTCAGCATTTAAAAATTTATTTTGGTGAATGTTCCAGGGGTGCTAGACAAGTTTGTGGATTAGGAAGATTTGAGGTGGATGTTTTCTAAATGTCAGTTAAGAAAAAAATCATTCAAATGTTTTTCTTTATTTAAAAAAAATAGAGACGGGGTCTCACTATGGTGCCCAGGCTGGTCTCAAACTCCTGGCCTCAAGTGATCCTCCCATTTTGGCCTCCCAAAGTGCTAGGATTATTGAAATTATTAAATGTTTCATATCAACACCCAACCTTATGCACCTGCCGCCTACACAAATGTTTTTCAAGTCTTTCATATGCTTAATAATTTTCTGTGTACTTGTTCTGGAAGTGAGGTGAATGTTGCTATCTCTAGCTGCAATTTGGATGTGATTGATTATGTTTTGAATTATGCCTTTAATTTAATGTGTTTTGAGGTTCCAGCTTTAGGTGTGTAGGCATTTAGGATTATTATGTCTTATTTATGAATTTGCCTCTTTGTCATTATGAAGTACTCCTCTTCATATCTCCATATATCTCTTCTTTGTATGTGCATGTTGAAATATTTCATTCTTTGAGTTAAGAAACTTCTATTGAGGAATACTTTTTATTACAAACATTTACCTATTCTATGTATACAACTGACTAGAAGCATATTTTGCACTGGGCATTATCATGACAATGTAATGTCATTCTTTCAATATTTACATCTTGTGGATTAGTATTTGAAGTGCAGCTTATGTAGACAGCATAAGGTTGGGTGTTGATATGAAACATTTAATAATTGCACACGTATTTGCCTCTTGGGATACTTCCACTTTTTTGAATTTCAAGTTACTAAATGGTATCATTAATCTTTGCTTCAAGAGCTTAACATTTATTGTAGAACAATGCTTCATGTAATAAATTGTGAGACATTTTTAATGGCACCTTTATTGCAGGAAAATGTTTTCCTTTTCAGGTTGAAAGATTCTAGTTTGAAATATTTTCTTGTAGCACTTTAAAAATGTTGGTCCACCTATTTCTTACTTTCATAGTTTTGAATACAAAGTTTGCTGTCATTCTTGTATTTCTTCTTCTGTTTTTTATTTATTTATTTTTGACAGAATATCTTGCCGTCTCACCCAGGCTGGAGTGCAGTGGCATGATCTTGGCTCACTGCAACCTCTGCCTTCCAGGTTTCAGCAATTCCTGCCTCAGCCTCCTGAGTAGCTGGGACTACAGGCATGCGCCACCATACCCAGCCAATTTTTTTTTTTGTATTTTTTTTTGTAGAGATGAAGTTTTGCCATATTGGCCAGAACTCCTGACCTCAAATGATCCACCTGCTTTGGCCTCCCAAAGTGCTGGGATTACAGGTGTGAGCCACTGTGCTCAGGCTATTTATTCCTTTTTATATAATATGAATTCACATTCATACATACCAGGGGTTAGGATTTCAACAAACGTTTCTGGGGGAGACCACTCAAAACACAGCACTCATCCTTGGTTATTTCCAGCCATGGAGCCTGTATCAATATCCTGGTGAATTATCTAAGCTGTCCACCTACCTACCCCAAATCCTCATGGTCACATAAAAGGCTAGTATAGTATAATAATTTTTCTTTCCCTGCTTATCTACAGTGATGAAGAAACAAATATTCAAAGGGAAAAATCTTAGCTTTAGGTATAGGGTAATTCTTCTTCCTATTTTTAAATAACTTCAACCTTTACTGTAGATTAAAGGTACGCATGCAGGTTTGTTACATAGGCATATTGTGTGACTCTGAGGTTTGTGGTTCCAACAATGCCATCACCCAGGCAATGAGCATAGAATCCAACAGGTGTTTCTTCAGCCTATACCTCCCTACTCCTCCCCCCATCTGTAGTCCTCGGTATCTGTTGTTTCCATCTTTATGTTTATGTGTATTCAATGTTTGGCTCTCAGTTATAAGTGATAACATGTGGTATTTGGTTTTCTGTTCCTGGGTTAGTTCACTTAGGAGATTGACCTCCTGCTACATTCATGTTGCTGCAAAGGACATGATTTCATTATTTTTTATGGCCATGTAATGTTCCATGTGTATATGTAGCACATTTTCTTTAACTAATCCACTGTTGGTGAGCACTTAGGTTGACTGCAAATCTTTGCTATTCTGAATTGCACAGCAATGAATATACTAGTGCATGTGTCTTTTTGACATAGTTAATTACCTTCCTTTTGGTATATACCCAGTAGTGGGATTGCTTGATTGAATAGTAGTTCTATTTTAAGTTATTTGAGAAGTCTCCAAACTGCTTATCACATTGGCTGAACTAGTTAACATTCCCACCAAGAGTGTATAAGTGTTCCCTTTTCTCCACAATCTTGTCAGCAGCTGTTATTAAAAAAAACAGAAAACTTTTTAGTAATTGCTTCTGCCTCTCTGATTGTTGTGAGATGGTATCTCACTGTGGTTTTAATTTGCATTTCTCTGATGATTACTGATAATAAGCATTTGTTCATATGTTTTTTGGCCATGTGTACATCTTCTTTTGAGAAGTGTCTGTTCATGTCATTCTTAATTGAGGTTTTTTGGTTTTCTGCTTGTTGATTTGTTTACATTCCTTATAGATTCTGGATATTAGAACTTTGTCAGATGCATAGTTTGCAAATATTTTCTCCCAGTCTGTAGGTTATCTGTTTACTCTGTTGATACTTTCGTTTGCTGTGCAGAAGCTCTTCAGTTGAGTTAGGTCCCAATTTCTGTCTTTGTCACAATTGGTTTTGGGGAGTTAGCCATAAATTCTTTGCCAAAGTCTATCTTGAGAAGGATATTTCCTCGGTTTTCCTCTAGAATTTTAATATTTTGAGGTTTTACATTTAAATCTTTAAACTATCTTGGGTTAATTTTTGTATATAGTGAGAGTTAGGGGTCCAGTTCTATTATTTTGCATATGAGTAGTCAGTTATCCCAGAACTATTTATTGAAGAAAGGGTACTTTCCACATTGCTTGTTTTTGTCAATTTTGTCAAAGATGATTGTAGGTATGTAGCCTCATTTCTGGGTTCTCTATTCTGTCTCATTGGTCTATGTGTCTGTTTTTGTAGTAGTATCATGCTGTTTGGGTTACTATAGCATTGTAGTATAGTTTGAAGTTGGGTAATGTGATGCCTGGGCTTTGTTCTTTGTGCTTAGGATTCCTATGTGTATTCAGGCTCTTTTTTGGTGCCAAATACATTTTAGAATAAATTTTTATAATTTCGTGAAAAATGACATTGCATTTTGAAATGGATAGCATTGAGTCTGCAATTTGTTTTTGGAAGTATGGCGATTTTAACTATTTGTTCTCCTAATTCATGAGCATGGAATATTCTTCCATTTGTTTGTATCATTTCTTATTTCTTTCAGAAGTGTTTTGTAGTTCTCTTTGTAGAGAATTTTCACCTTCTTGGTTAGATGGATTCCTAGGTATTTTATTTTCTTTGTGGCTAGTGTAAATGGGATTGTGTTCTTGATTTAGTTCTCAGCTAGAATGTTAGTGGTGCATAGAAATGTTACTAATTTGTGTACATTTTTTTAATCCTGAAACTTTATTGAATTTGTTTATCAGTTTCAGGAGCCTTCTGACAGAGTCTTTAGGGTTTTCTATGTATAAAATTATTTCATCAGCAAAGAGAGACAGTATCACTACTTCTTTTCCAATTTTAATGCCTTTTATTTCCTTCTCTTGCCTGATTGCTTTGGCTAGGACTTCCAGTACCATGTTGAATTAAAACGGCGGGAGTGGTCATCCTGGTCTTGTTTCAGTTCTCAAGGGGTATGGTTCCAGCTTTTGCCCATCAATATGATGTTGGCTGTGGGTTTGTCATAGATGGCTCTTAATATTTTGAGGTATGTTCCTTTGATGCCTATTGACAGTTTTTATCATGAAGGGATGTTGGATTTTACAGAAAGCTTTTTCTGCATCTATTGAGATGATCATATAGTTTTTGTTTTTAATTATGTTTATGAGGTGAATCACATTCGTTGACTTTGTAGGTTGAACCAACCTTGCATCCCAAAAATAAAGCTTACTTGATCATGTGAATTAACTTTTGATGCACTGACAGATTCAATTTGCTAGCATTTTGTTGAGGATTTTTGTGTCTATGTTCATTAAGGATATTTAGTTGTAGTTTTCTTTTTTTCATTATGTCTCTGACAGATGTTGGTATCATGGTGATGATGGCTTCATAGAATGAGTTAGGAAGAAGCCCCCACTCCTTGATTTTTTCCAAAAGTTTCAGTAGGATCGGTATCAGTTCTTCTTTGTATGGCTGTTGGATTTCGGTTGTGAATCCATCTGGTCCTGGGCTATTTTTAGTTAGTAGGGTTTTTATTACTGATTAAATTTCTGAACTTGTTATTGGTCTGTTCAGGTTTTCACTTTCTTCCTGGTTGAAATATGATAAATTTTGTGTTACCAGGAATTTATCCATTTCTTCTAGGTTTTCTAGCTTGTTTGTATAGAGGTGTTCATAATAGTCTTTGACAATCTTTTCTATTTCTGTGGGATTGTTCGTAACATTGTTTTGTCAGTTCTATTTGTGCTTATTTGGATCTTTTCTCTTTTTCTTTGTTAATCTAGCTAACAGTCTATGAATTTTGTTTATTTTTTTTTTCAAAGAAAAACTCTTGGTTTTATTTATCTCTTGTATGGACTTTTTGGTCTCAATTTATTCAGTTCTCTCTGACTTTAGTTATTTCTCATCTTTTGCTGGCCTTGGGTTTGGACTGTTCCTTTTTTTTAATAGTTCCTCTAGATGCAGTGTTAAGTCACTAATTTGAGATCTTTCTAAACTTCTGATGAGGCATGTATTGCTATAAATTTTCCTCTTATCACTGCTTTAACTGCATCCCAAAGGTTTTGGTAAGTTTGTTTCTATTTTTATTAATTTTAAATAATGTTTTGTGATTTCTGCTTTAATTTCATTGTTCACCCAAGAGTTCTCAAGGGGTACAGTTCCAGCTTTTGACCATTCAATATGATGTTGGCTGTGGATTTGTCATAGATGGCTCTTAATATTCATTCCGAAACAAGTTGTTAAATTTCCATGTTTTTCTGTAGTTTTGAGAGATCATCTTGGTATTTTTTTCTATTTTTATTGTGTGCCTTGTTATGATTTTGATTCTTTGAATTTATTGAGACTTGCTTTGTGGCCAGTCTTAGAATATGATATGTTTTTTGTGTGTGCAGATAAGAAGAATCTATATTCTGCAGTTGTTGGGTGGAGTACTCTGTAGATGTCTATGAGGTCCAATTGGTCAAGTGTTGTCTTTAAGACCAGAATTTCTTTGTTAGTTTTCTGTTTTAGTGATTCATCTGACGTTGTTAGTGGGATACTGAAGTCCCTTACTATTATTGTGTGGCTGTCTAACTCTTTTCATAGGTGAAGAATAACTTGTTTTATGAATCGGGGTGCTCCAAATTTGGGTGCATATATATTTAGAATAGTTAAGTCTTCTGTCAAATTGAACCCTTTATCATTTTGTAATGCCCTTCTTTGTCCTTCCTGATTGCTGTTGATTTAAAGTGTGTTTCATGTGATATAAGAATAGGAATGCCTTCCTTTTTTTTGTTTCCTGGTTGCCTAGTAAATATTTCTTCATCCTTTTACTTTGAGCCTGTGGGTGTCATTACATGTGAGATGGGTCTCTTGAAGACAGCAGGCAGTTGGCTCTTGGCTTTTTATCCACGTTGCCACTCTATGCCTTTTATGTGGGGAATTTAGGCCATTTACATTTCTTCTCCTGATATATCCTTTTTATATTTTTATGATTGCCTTTTAAAATATATTGAATGGTTGTAATTCCAGGGAAATGTCTTTCAGAACAGTATTTATTCCCATCTACATGTTTTGGAGAGTGCACTAGGGGACATTGAAGTTTATTTCCTGAAAAGAGTTTAATTTTAAAATGTATTTTATTTAATAACTCAATGATTCAGGGAATGTCTAGGTATTTCAGAGATTGTTTTAGACAGTTTGTTTTCTTGTGATATGTGACCACTTCATCTAAGCTGAATAATGTCTTCATAATGTCCACTTAGAATCTTTTGAATTCTGTAGGATCTGTACTGATGTCATTGTTTCCTTTCTGATATTGGTAATTTTCCTGGGGTAGGATTCTTAGCTCCTCCTGAGGTCCTGCCTCTAAAATTCAGGGAACAATGAGTCAGATTAGTACTCTGATTTCAAAGGGAAAGCTGATCATCTACCATTTTTTGTTTATGTAAATGGACACATTAACATCCCTTGTCTGAACCTTAGTTACCTTGTTTGGAGCATTTTGCTATAAATCTCACTTCTCAGAGTGGTTGTGGGGCTTGATGTGGCTGGGGTATGGGATGGCTTAAACATAATTTATTTCCAGACCAGGTTAAGGCATGAAGGGGTTGGGACTTGTTAGAATCCTGTTGTCGGACTCCACAGTAAGGGTAGACATTTGAGGCACCCAATCAAAAACCTCAGTTGTTCCTAGCACTGAGAAATTTGATAGAATGTTTCTAAAACATTATTCATGGTCTAATGCACAAAAAGTAAAGTGATAGCCCTGGAAGTAGACAGGGAACCATAAGAAAAAAGAGAGAGCAAAGCTCAGTGGTCACCAGTGCCTGGGACCATCAAGGGGTTATTAAGGAGGAAGTTTCCACCTCTGTGGGGAACAGAAGAGGCTCCCTAGGGTCCACACACACAGGGAGTGAGCCAAGACTCTGGGCGAGGCTGGAAGCTCTGGGTCTCCTTCTGTGAGATTTTCTTTTTTTTTTTTGAGATGGAGTCTTGCTCTGCCACCCAGGCTAGAGTGCAACGGCGCGATCTCGGCTCATGGCAACCTCTGCATAAAGTGGTATGTATTTAAGGCATGCATTAGACAAATTACTAAGTATTTACTAGATAAGAAAAAATTATATCTGAATCTTTTCAAATTGCCGTCTTATGCATTATATTCTCTTTTTATAGTGCAATTTCTTAATAGTTAATGCCAGAAGATTTTTTTTTCTTCCTTTCTTTCTTTCTTTTTTTTTTTTTTTTGAGACAGAGTCTCACTCTGTTGCCAGGCTGGAGTGCAGTGGCACGATCTCGGCTCACTGCAACCTCCGTCTCTCGGGTTCATGCCATTCTCCCGCCTCAGCCTCCTGAGAAGCTGGGACTACAGGCACCCTCTACCATGCCCAGCTATTTTTTTTTTTTTTTTTGTATTTTTAGTAGAGACGGGGTTTCACCATGTTCG
Source organism: Homo sapiens (assembly GCF_000001405.40). Classification (NCBI taxonomy): domain Eukaryota; kingdom Metazoa; phylum Chordata; class Mammalia; order Primates; family Hominidae; genus Homo; species Homo sapiens. Next base: position 153,835 of record NT_187639.1, read on the forward strand.
CCAGGATGATCTCTGTCTCTTGAACTCGTGATCCACCTGCCTTGGCTTCCCAAAGTGCTGGGATTACAGGCATGAGCCACTGCACCTGGTCGCCAAAAGATATTTTTAAAAACCTAAATGCCACTTGAAATGAATAAGACCCTCAATAATTCATGGGATATACATGTGAACTTATGACATATGATGAAATAAGCAGGTTACAAAATTGTAATATATCAAGCAAGGTAGAAAGCCATGGCAGAAAAAGAGACAAGCATTTTCAAGATAAGGAATGAAAGAGGGGAAACAGTACTATTGATTTTACAGATTTTACAAAGATATCTTAGGTGTGTTTTCCTAAATAATAAATGTACCCTCCTTTTGACCTTTATGTAATGAAATAACCATGCACACATTTTCAAATAATACTTCATTTACTTGACTTTATGCTTGAAAATTGAAGTATGGTGCTGTTTGTTATTTTCATTTATGCATTTTACTACCTTGTAATATTCCACTGAGTCTATTTACCACACTATGTTTATTTTTTTCGTAGGTGGACTTTGGTATTTTATAGCTTTGGCTAATAGGAACAGCATTCCTATAACAGTTGTGAGTGTATCATGACACATAAGTAGACATTTATCTCTAGGGTACATAATTAAGTACATAATTAAGAAGGGTCACAGCCATGTGCCTCCTCTTTTTAACTAGATAATTCCAATACACTTCCTTAATTGATTAAAGCAATTTGTACTCTTACTATTAATGTACTAAAATTCTACATGTTCAATATTCTTTCCAAAAAATGATTTTGCTACTTTTTTCTTTTCTTGAGACTGAGTCTTGCTCTATCACCCAGGCTGTAGTGATCTCGGCTCACTGCAACCTCCGCCTCCTGGGTTCATGCGATTCTCGTGCCTTGGCCTCCCAAGTAGCTGGGATTACAGGCAGGCGCCACCATGTCTGGCTAATTTTTGTATTTTTAGTAGAGACAGCGTTTCACCATGTTGGCCAGGCTGGTCTCGAACTCCTGACCTCAGGTGATCCTCCTGCCTCGGCCTCCCAAAGTGTTGGGATTACAGGCATGAGCCACCACACCCGGCCTATTTTTTTCTTTTCCCTCCATTGTGCTATGATTTTTGACATTACAATTTTACTGAAACTACACCATAAGAATGAAGCAGAAATTATTATAACCTTTAAATAAACTTTACAACTGGTTCATACTCGTGTGAACGACAATTCTTTTGACTACTTCCCAACTGTGCATTCAATGGCGTCATATGGGCACCCTGAAGTTGGCCATAAAGGACGTATTTATACCACACTAATCAGCAAATACCATAAATCTGGGGCTTTATATGTTCAGAGTTTTCTTAAGAAAATAATTTTTTCAGAGAGCCAGTTTAACAGAATACCATGAGGCTGAGCCTTCGAGCGTTAGTGTGCTCATTCTGAGAGATGATATTTCTGGACAAAGTACACAGGTATCATCCGATGAAGAGTGAAGGGAATTCAGGGTCCAGAGAGGGTGCTAGGGCATCATTTCAGACTCATATTTCCCTTTTTTTTTTTTTTTTTGGAGATGGAGTCTTGCTCTGTTGCCCAGGCTGGAGTGCAGTGGCAAGATCTTGGCTCACTGCAACCTCCGCCTCCCGGGTTCAAGCTATTCTCCCGCCTCAGCTTCCTGAGCAGCTGGGATTACAGGTGCTCACTGCCACACCCAGCTAATTTTTGTATCTTTTAGTAGAGACAGGGTTTCACCATGTTGGCCAGGTTGGTCTCGAACTTCTGACCTCAAGTGATCCGCCCACCTCAGCCTCCCAAAGTGCTGGGATTACAGGTGTGAGCCACTGTGCCTGGCCTCAGACTCATGTTTCAAAGTCCCAAATACAAATCTGCCCACCTATTCCAGTTATTTAATCCAGATCTATGCTCAGAACTGAAAAGATGGAGAATCAATAGTTCACTTTAGAGAATGCGGTAGTTGGAAACAAAGACAAATGTATTACATGACAGTGGACCAGAGCACGTGATCGCAGGGGTGTGGATGCAAACCCACCATGGGGGACGTGCCTTCACATCACAGAGAGCGAAAGGAAGGGAGGGGCAGACACGGAGGATCCACAACAGCAGGACTGAAAGCACTGCCATTTAATGGAAGTTTAATGGAGGAAGCGTTCTCTACAGGCACCCAGACATCTTCCTGAACCTGACCCAAGCCTCCCCTTCTCGACTTTCTCAGTAGACGGTTTCCCGAATGATGGTCCAGACTTTCTTCCAGAACCTCCTAGGACTATCAGATTCATTGCCAAGGCTCTGGCACTCTGAAGGGTGCATTGTTCTCTCATGTATTTACCTCCTTGCTGCATCTTGGGGACTTCTCTAGCTGTGCCAGTCCTAAAGCAGCAGAATCCCGAGGACCACCAGGACCAAGCCAGCCACAGCCACGCGGATGAGATTCTCCACTGTGTAATCCTGGGGGTGTGAGGCTGGGGATGGTGGACCAAGAGGTCTCAGAGGTCAGGGCAGATCAACATCACCCGGGACCCCTGGATGTCCACCCAGGGCACCCACCTCCCCTTCACAGGACCTGACCCTCTGTGCCAGCCCCATAACCGAGAGCATCTCCTTACACACCAGTCTTGGAGTCTGTCTTGTTTTGCGATGGGCTGAGGGTCTCAGCTGCTCCTGAGAATCAACCAAAAAAGGGGGAGGTGTGTGAGGAGTTGAAGAGACTTAAGCCAACATGTCCCTCAGTTGCTGCATTCCTTTGTGTCTACACTTCTCCTAACTGCTCTGTAGTTGTGTGATAGAACCTTTCCCTGCCGTGGCAGAGGTACATTCGCATACATACATACATATATGCATAGGTGTAAATATGTGTGTATACATAATATGTGTTATGCATATGTGTATACATAATATGTATTATGCATATGTGTATAGATAATATGTATTATGCATATGTGTATGCATAATATGTATTATAAGATATAGTGTGAGTATATATAAATATATAATATATAAGATATATAATAGTGTGTGTATACATATAAATATATAATAAGATATGTAATAGTGTGTGCATATATAAATATATAATATATAATAAGATATATAATAGTGTGTATATATAAATATATAATACATAATATATTATAAGATATATAATAGTATGTATATATAAATATATAATACATAATATATAAGATATATAATAGTGTGTGTATATATAAATATATAATACATTATATATTATAAGATATATAATAGTATATATAAATATATAGTACATAATATATAATAAGATATATAATAGTGTGTGTATACATATAAATATATAATAAGATATGTAATAGTGTGTGCATATATAAATATATAATATATAATAAGATATATAATAGTGTATATATATAAATATATAATACATAATATATTATAAGATATATAATAGTATGTATATATAAATATATAATACATAATATATAAGATATATAATAGTGTGTGTATATATAAATATATAATACATTATATATTATAAGATATATAATAGTATATATAAATATATAGTACATAATATATAATAAGATATATAATAGTGTGTGTATACATATAAATATATAATAAGATATGTAATAGTGTGTGCATATATAAATATATAATATATAATAAGATATATAATAGTGTATATATATAAATATATAATACATAATATATTATAAGATATATAATAGTATGTATATATAAATATATAATACATAATATATAAGATATATAATAGTGTGTGTATATATAAATATATAATACATTATATATTATAAGATATATAATAGTATATATAAATATATAATACATAATATATAATAAGATATATAATAGTGTGTGTATATATAAATATATAATACATAATATATATTATAAGATATAATAATGTGTGGGTAATATAAATATATAATACATAATATATAAGATATATAATAGTGCATATATAAATATATAATACATAATATATATTATAAGATATAATAATGTGTGGGTATATATAAATATATAATACATAATATATATTATAAGATATAATAATGTGTGGGTATATATAAATATATAATACATAATATATAAGATATATAATAGTGTATATATAAATATATAATACATAATATATATTATAAGATATATAATAGTGTGTGAGTATATATAAACACATACATATATATTTGAAGTGAGAAGAGTATTATATAATTTAGAAACAAACAAGTTTGTCCTCCATTTTCTTGTGGTTAATGTAATTATTATCAATAAATCAGAAGAGATCATTTCGGAAAGGATTGAAAGGGAGTGTGTCTGTGGTAAGTTAATAGGAACTAAAATTAGCATACCCAAACCAATAGCTTTCTCATCCATACGTAACTAATTTTAGAAAATAGAAAGGAATCAAAGACTTTCAAATTATTCAAGTAGTAAAACAATGCTTAAAATTCACAATGTCCACAATTTTTATGAATACAACTTCAAGCATCTGCTAACTGTATAAAGTTTAATTTTAAATGTATTGGATACAAAGACATTATTAATGAGAAGTTATTCTCCATCATGAATGCACATATTTAATTTAATCCCAAAGAAAATCAGAGCACAGTTATTTTACATCATAACGCTACCTAACAAATTAAATGTGTAAATTATAAATGCCAGCATTGCTTTGAAATCTTCAGAAACAGAAAGAGAAACTAGATATGTGGACATAAAAAATAAAGGACAGAAAGGAATTGCACACGAGGTTTGCTGTTGAATAATTTGCCTGCATTGCTGCAGTGAGCAGGTGCATGATCTCCCCTTCGTCTCAGGTATGCACTGAGTATTTTGGGGCCGCCAGGGGAGCCCAGGTGGGGAGTGGGTGGGGCCTCCATCTTCTACCCTCAGCCTAAGCATGATTCCTCCAAGGTTTCTCCATATCTCATTTCAGCCCTCCCTGGCCTTTAGCCCCATCTGAGGTCTCTGGGGTGGGAGCCCAGGATTAGGAGGTCCCTGACTATTTCCACCCTCTCATGGGCTGGGCCCTCCCCTGCCGACCCTCCCCCTTTACTCCCCTCTTTCCTTAGCGTCCTGAGCTCTCCTGGGGGCAGGGCCTGAGCTGAGGTTTGAGCTCAGAGAGGACAGGGTCAGCGGCCTCACCTGAGACCACGAGCTCCAGGGGGTCACTGGGGTGAGACAGCAGGTAGGGGAAGAATCTGCGTGAGCTGTAGCACCTGTAGGTCCCCGCGTGGGCTGAGGTCACAGGACTCATGGGGAATTCAGCCTGGTGCTGCTGAGCTTGGTGCTCTGATCTCAGACGCAGTGGGTGATGGGCTGCCCCCTCCTTGGTCAGAAGGAAAGTGTCCAACTGCTCCCGTGACTGACACAGCAGGGTCACGTTCTCTCCTGAGGCCACCGTGGGGCCCGGCTGCACCGAGAGGGAGGGTCTGCCACGGATCTGTCCTGGAGAGAAGAAGGATGGGTGAGGGGCTGCCCCACCTCGTTCTGAGCTGACACCTCCCCAGGCCTCTCCCTGGGACCCTCAGTGTCTCTGTCTCTGTTTTCTCTGAGTCTCCCCCTCCCCGCCCATCCCCTGTCTCTGTCTGTCTCTCCGTCCCTTAGGACCCCCACCCCTCATCCCGGCCATCACCACCTGGGCTCCCCCAGCAGGGCCTGTGCGGAGCCTGGGTCCCTGACTGAACCTGCTGGGCTCCTCACCTGCGATCAGGATGCTCAGGGGGTCACTGGGGGCCGACCACTCGGAGGAGAGGTTGTGTGCACCGTAGCATCTGTACTGGCCCCCGTGGGAGACCCTCACAGGGCCCAGGGTGAAGTTGGCCTGGGAGAGCCCAGCCTGGGGCTGCCGGCCAGAGCCCTGGACGAGGTCATGTCCCCCCTCCTTGTACAGAGTGAATTTGTCATAGCCGACATCAGAGCCACACTGGAGGGTCAGATTCTCCCCAGGGGCCACGACAGGGCCCTGCAGGGTCAGGAGGGAGGGCTTCCTAGACACGCCTGGAGGGAAAGAAGAGTCGGGACTAGGAGGGCTGGTTCCTCCCACACCCCTTCCTTCTCCCCTCCTGGCCCTGCAGGTCTCACTGTCTCTCACACTCAGTGTCTCTGGGCTCAGGAGTCCCAAACTTCCCTTGTTCCACCCTCCTACATGGGGCTCCGTGAGAGTAAGTTCTCAAAAATAAATAGGGCAAGGAGGAAGACATCCATACCTAAGACCAGGATCTCCATGGTATCACTGGGTTCCGACCACACCCAGGGGAAGTTCGTGTAATGCCCATAGCATCTGAACATCCACCGGTGACTGGCAGCCACACGGCCCACAGGGAACAGGGCCAGGGACAAGGGACAGCCCCTTGGAGAGTTCCTGTGAGTCCAGCATCCAGGAGAGCTTGTTTTCTCCTTCCTCAATCAAAATGAACCTGTGAAATCCCACCCTTGAGCTACACTGGATGGTCACGTTCTCTCCTGAGGTCACCACAGGGCTCGGCAGGGCTGAGAGAGTGGGTTTTCTGTGGGCTCCTAGGAGAGAAGGAGACACTGTCTTAAATGGGGCTCACGCGTCCCACATCATCCCCCAGGGCTGAGTTATTAGAACGGAGATGCCCTTGAGAGCTGACCCCCTTCCTGCAGGCAGAGCCTGGGGCTGGGACCCCTGAGTGTCCTCTTACCTGTCACCACCAGCTCCAGGGGCTCGCTGCGCTCTGACCAGCCTGCAGGGCTGAGATAGTGACAGTGGTATCTCCCTGCATGGTGCTCTCTCATGGATGGGATGAAGAAGTTGGTCTTGTTCCTGGGCTCTGGTGGGCTCTGTTGGTACCAGGTCATGGGGTTTCCTTCCTTGGTGAGATAGTAACCCTGGGTATCCAGGGTCCCCTGGCACCAGAGGGTCATGGGGCTCTCCCAGGTAATCACAGAGCCTGGCTCAGCCCAGAGGCTGGGTTTGGGGAGGGTCCCTGGAAGAAACCACAGGCTGGGGTCCACAGACCTCCCCCGCTCCTCATTCCCAGCTCAGGTCACAGACCCTCTTGATTTTCTCACCCTCAGTTCAGAAGCCCCTGAGATGAGAGTCCAGGTGCTGAGTGTGAGGTCAGGCATGGGAGGTTAGCAGAGACTCACCTGCAAGTGCTTGGGCTTTCTGGCCCAGACTCAGCCATGGAGAAGAGTTTCCTGTGGGGGATTTGGAACACAGAGGTGTGGCTGCTTCCCTTCCTGTTGGAGCACCAGTAGCCACTGGAGCCCTGAGGCTCTCTGGTGAACAAGGCTGCTGTGGGACCCTCCCCACCTCAGCCCAGTGCCCCTCCTGTCCCTCGTCTCTCCACCACTGACTGAGGCACAGAAGAACAGTGAGGATGGACACCATGATGCCTGCTCTGCGTGCTCCAGCTGTGGGACAGGTGACCACATGGCCCTCCATGACAGACAGATGCACGGATGTGGTTAAGTCAGAGCCTGCTGCCGCCTGCCTGGGTCCCCACAGCTGTGAACCCACAGGAAGTGGACAGCCCCTTGCTGGGCCTGTCTCTTATTCCCCCCCCAGTGCAGGGGCTCAGGAGGACCCAGGCCCTCTGCACACATCTCAGCCCAGACCTGAGGTGTCCCCTGATTGCCAGGGATCCTTTGTCTGAAAACCTGCCCGTGGAGGGTGGACCCAACATCATATCTATGTCAGCTCCCAACTTAGCTGGGTCTAAACTGAAAACACAGCCCTTATTTTCTCAGAGCCTCCACTCATGACATCGGCTTTCTTTTTCCCCACTGATGCAAAGACAAATATTTCCCAGCAGAAAGTCATCCTGATCTGGAGAGACCCATTTCCTGCGTTCAGTAAATAAAGTCAGTTTCATTAGGGGAGGCTCTGGGAAAATAAGGGGATGCAGACTAGCAGAAGATGAACATTTAGCTACTTGTTTCTCAATTAATTGATTTATTACCAAAGAGAGAGAAGTGGAAACATGAGAATAGGGACCATGACTAGAATGTGGTTGAGGGAATGGTTTCTATCTTATTCCCTGGCAGAGAACTAAGGGATAAGAATGAGAAAGCTGGCTGGGTGCAGTGGCTTACACCTGTAATCCCAGCACTTTGGGAGGCCGAGGCAGGAAGATCACAAGGTCAGGAGTTCAAGACCAGCCTGACCAACATGGTGAAACCCCTGTCTCTACTAAAAATACAAAAACTAGCTGGGTGTGCTGGCATGCGCCTGTAATCCCAGCTACTAGGGAGGCTGAGGTGGGAGAATCGCTTGAACCTGGGAGGTGGAGCTTGCAGTGAGCCGAGATCGCGCCACTGCACTCCAGCCTGGGCAACAAAGCCGGACTGTCTCAAAAAAAAAAAAAAAAAAAAAAAAAAAGAAAGAGAGAAAACCCAGCAGTGAGAGGTAGTTGTGAGAACACACTAAAGAGGAAAGATAATCCAGGGCTGGGAGTGGTGGCTCATGCCTGTAATTCCAGCACTTTGGGAGGCTGAGGCTGGCAGATCACAAGGTCAGGAGTTCGAGACCAGCCTGACCAACATGGTGAAACCCTGTGTCTACTAAAAATGCAAAAATTAGCTGGGTGTGGTGGTGGGTGCCTGTAATCCCAGCTACTCAGGAGGCTGAGGTGGGAGAATCGCTTGAACCCAGGAGACGGAGGTTGCAGTGAGCTGAGATTGCACCACTGCACTCCAGCATAGGCAACAAAGCCAGACTCTGCCAAAAACAAAAACAAAAACAAAAACAAAAACAAAAAACAAGAAAGCTCAGTGAGAGGTGGTTGTGAGAACACACTAAAGAGGAAAGATCATTCAGGGCTGGGAGTGGTGACTCACGCCTGTAATCCCAGCACTTTGGGGGGCCACAGGCGGGTGGATTACCTGAGGGCAGGAGTTCAAGACCAGTCTGGCCAACATGGTGAAACCTCGTCTCTACTAAAAATACAAAAACTAGCTGGGTGTGATGGCGGGTGCCTGTAATCCCAGCTACTTGAGAGGCTGAGTCAGGAGAATCTCTTGAACCCAGGAGGCAGAGGTTGCAGTGAGCTGGGATCGTGCCACTGTACTCTAGCCTGGGTAACAGAGCAAGGCTCTGTCTCAAAAAAATAAAAATTAGAAAGAAAAAAGGAGAAGGAGAAGAGGAAGGAGACAGAAAGGAGAGAAACATCCCTGAGGTGGAACATTACATGCAACATGGAGTAGGCAGGGAATCCGATAGAGCACTGAAACTCTCGCTGGGTACGGTGGCTAACATCTGTACTCCCAGCACTTTGGGTGGCCGAGGTGGATGGATCACCTGAGGTCAGGAGTTTAAGACCAGCCTGACCAACATGGTGAAACCCCATCTCTACTAAAAATACAAAAGGCTGGGTGTGGTGGCTCACGCCTGTAATCCCAACACTTTGGCAGTCTGATACAGGCGGATCACATGAGATCAGGAGTTTGAGACCAGCCTGGCCAAGATGGCAAAACCTCATCTCTACTAAAAATACAAACATTACCTGGCTGTGGTGGCAGTCGCCTGTAATCCCAGCTATGCAGGAGGCTGAGGCAGGAGAATCGCTTGAACCTGAGAGGTGGAGGTTGCAGTGAGTCAAGATCGTGCCATTGCACTCCAGCCTGGCCAATAGGAGCAAAACTCCATGTGAAAATAAAATAAAATAAAATAAAATATAATAAAATAAAATAATAAATCAAAAAAGGACTGGACATCTCCTGTGGGTTGTCAGTGAATGGAACTAAGCAAGCCACCGCTCTTTCCCTTTTGTCCCGCAAGTGTCTTTCTTGGCCTCCAGGAAGTGAGTTCCATCATGTCAGACCCTATGTTTGTTCCTGCTGGGTTCACTGAGGCTCCTCCCTTTCCACCTGTGGCTCCCCATGGGTTCCCAGTCCCCAGCCAGTGTTGTGAATCGAGCCAGGAAGACCAGCCCTATCACACCCCTCCTGATGGAATTCCCACAGTGTCATCCTGGAGAACAGGGGCTGGGGGCTGGGGTAGGATCAGAGACCTTTTCATGTGGGCCAGGCCCCTCCCTCCACAGGAGCTCTGACACGAAGCTCATCACCATTCATTTCACCCTGACGATATTCTTCCTGCCCAGACACCCCCGTTCTCCCTATGTCATCATGGGCACCTCAGTGAAATCCATGGTTGAGGGTCTCTGTCACTTACTCTGCCCTCTTCTTGGAAAATTTCCTTGGATCCTTCCAGAGCCCTTCCTGAGTGTGCTGCAGGGTCTCTGCCACATGACACACTCTCAGGAACCCTCATCCTCCCCTTAATCTACTGCGCCCACATAGCCAGGTGCAGGCTCCGTTTCTTCATCTTCCCTTCCCCACAGGCCCCGATGGAGAGTGGATTAGACTCGCTCCTGAGTAGGGACTCAGGTCACTCTGACCCCTTCCTCCCTGTGGACGAGGCCTCTGTCCCAGAGCTTTGGAGGCTGAAGGGCCTTGTGGATTCCCGCACTGGCCACAGTCTCCGATGCAGATGGGGAACTGGGGACCTGGGAGGGGTTGCCTAGCCCAAGGCCACATAGCTGGGCGGTGGCACAGCCTTCACTCACACAGGGACATTCCATCTTCCCAGGGACTTCACACTGGAGGCTAAGAGCCCCACTTTGCACACCACATTCAGGGGTAGATTCTGTGTGTGACTAACAAGTTCTCTTAGGGTTCCGAGGTAACAGGACAGCAAATGGATGAGTGAGAGTTTCCCTCACCCCACTGAAGTAGGACCATTCTCTGTGGAGGGTTGGTCCCCTGACTTCCTCTACTCTGTCATCTCCCTAGTGACTGATAGGGGTCCTGGGGTCTCTTCCCTGGAATCCCATGAGGGACAATTCCTTTCCTGAAGGGAAGGTATAGAGAGGACTAGCAGGTGCCTGGTGATGGAAAGTCCCCATAATCAAGAGACATTGCCTCCCCCCCCCGGCATGATAAATATCTGGGTTTCCAAATGGGAAATCTGTCTGTGATGAGAGCTCAGGAGGGGCTTCTGGAAGATGGAAAAGGGCTAGAGGCTGAGGCCACTGCTTATCTCCCCACACTGTATCTGGCTTCACCTCCTGTGTTTGTCCTGACCTCTTCCTTCACTCACCTGGATAAGTAGGACCCCAAAGTGGGCCTCCAGACAGGAAGCAGTGGAGAGTGTGGAGCTGCCCTGTCTACCACCCTACACCCTGACACCACTGTCATACTCAACCTCTCTTTTCCTCTTTGTGTTTCTCATTGCTTCATTTTGTCTGGAATCCCTAAGATTCCCATGTCTCCAGCAGGCTGTCCCTCAGACGTGGCTATATGATTTAGTGTTTCACAGGGCATGCAGCAGGCATGGGCTACCCCCAGTAACAGTGGTCATCTAGGGCTGATCACTCACAGGCAGAGCCATCGACAGAGAGCTGCAGCATCTAGAGGTCCCATCACCAGCCCCAAGACCCAGAGAGAAGTTGGCCTGAATGCCCCACTCTGTCTCTGCACCCCAGTGAGCCAGTGTCCAGGGGCCTTACCTTCCTCGTTAGAAGGCACAGGTCAAATGAGCTTCCAGAGCTGCAGAGCAAAGTCACATTCTCTCCATCATTACTTACTGCAGGGCACAGTTGAGCTGAGAAGGAAGGTCTCTTGTAGACGCCTGGGGAAAAAAATAGTCCTTGACTGTCGAGCACAAGCCTTACCCAGCCTATCCTCAGGGCATGAAAAAGGCATTCTCTCCACCTGTTCTGGGGAGCACACTCTGTTACCCACTCGTGCCTCTCTCCATCTCAGTTCTAGCTCTACAAGCTGGCTCATCATGTGTGTGTTTTCCTGTCTGTCTTTGCTCAGCTTTTCCTTGAATCTCTTGCTTTTTGCCGGTGCGTGTGTGGCTTTCTGCCCTTAGAACCATATGAGATTTAGGGTTCTCCTGGCACATAGAACTGTTTACTTTGAGGACCCTCAGAAAACATAGCCCTGGGCTAAGGCTCCCTGTCCTGGAACTAGAAGGTTATGGGTGTCACCATTTCCCAACAGCATGTCTGAAAGTGCCAGAATCTTCAAAGAGTCTGCAACATGTTTGTAGGATCTTTATAGGGTCTGATATTGCAGGGACCAACCAAAGTGCCCTCACACCCCAAGACGCTGGAAGTGACCCCTTGCTGAAAGTGGTTGGAAGTTTCACATAGAAGTTTGAGTTAAGCCACATTGCTGAGCAATGCCTCAGCATCCCAGTCTTCATCCAGACCTTCCAGGAGCCTGGCTGGAGGGGGTGTCTCTGGTGTGTCACTGAGCCTTATAGCAGAGGAAGGGGGCTATGGTGGAAACTACCTCCAAGATACCACTCAGTCCTAAGCTGGGGAACAAGCTGAGCTTGGATTCTGGTAGTGAATGAACCGGGAAACATTTATTTGAAGGGTTCTAAGAGTAGCATCGTGTGGGTGCGTTAATTGTATGTGAAGGGGAAGATCCTGAGAAAACAAGAGCTGCTCCACTCTGTGCCTGGGTTTACCAGAGGGACCGATGAGGTCCTCACAAGACCCAGGAATCCCACCGGGGGAAGGAGGCTTAGGGAGATGTGTTTAAGACTGTTAAGTGAGTCACAGACAGAAGCAGATCAAGCCATCCCACCACCTAGGTTTGTGGTTTTGTTTCTCCTAAACTTCCTTTCTGTAAGTAGCAGAACCTTCTCATCACCATCCTTCAAAACCTCTGCATTGTTTGAGCTCCTTGTATTTTCTGGAGATTAATCTCTTGCTTGCAAATATTCTTTCCCATTCTGTAGGTGGTCTCTTCACTCTGCTGTTTGTTTCCTTGATTGTGCAGAAGGTTTGCAGTTTGCTATGATCTCATTTGCCTATTTTTGCTTTTGCTGCCTGAGCTTTTGAGGGTTTTTTTTTTTTGTTTTTTTTTTTGAGACGGAGTCTCGCTCTGTCACCCAGGCTGGAGTTCAGTGGCATGATCTCAGCTCATTGCAACCTCCGCCTCCCGGGTTCAAGTGATTCTCCTGCCTCAGCCTCCCTAGTAGCTAGGACTACAGGCGAGTGCCACCACACCCGGCTAATTTTTGTATTTTTAGTAGAGGCAGGGTTTCACCACGTTTGGCCAGGCTGGTCTCAAACTCCTGACTTCAAGTGATCCACCCACCTTGGCCTCCCAAAGTGCTGGGATTACAGGCGTGAGCCACTGCGCCCGGCGTTGTATTGGATTTTTAATTCAGCCCTATTTTCTCCGACATTTGATATTGGCATTTTTGTCTTTTTTGGATATGCTAGGATCATGGTGTCATAATTTAATTTTAATTTTTATTTTTATTTTAAGTTCCGGGGTACATGTGCAGAATGTGTGGGCTTATTGCATAGGTCAATGTGCGCCATGGTGGTTTCCTGCACCTGTCAACCCATCACCTAGGTATTAAGCCCAGCATACATTAGCTATTTTTCCTAATGCTCTCCCTACCCCTACCCCACCCCCCCCCCGACAGGCCCCAGTGTGTGTTGTTCCCCTCCCTGTGTTCACGCATTCTCATTGTTCAGCACCCACTTGTAAGTGAGAACATGCAGCGTTTGATTTCCTGTTCCTGTGTTAGTTTCCTGAGGATAATGGTTTCCAGCTCCATCCATGTCCCTGCAAAGGACATGATCTTGTTTCTTTTTATGGCTTCATAGTATTCCGTGGTGTATATGTCTCACATTTTCTTTATCCAGTCTATCATTGATGGGCATTTGGGTTGATTCTATGTCTTTGCTATTGTGAATAGTGCTGCGATGAACACATGTGTGCATGTATCTTTGCAATAGAATGATTTATATTCCTTTGGGTATACGCGCAGTAATGGGACTGCTTTTACCTGTGCCAAAATACTGAAGTAGAAATGATTATTCACTCTAAAATGGAAGGTAATAAGATGTATACGTGAGCTATCAGATGCCTGGTGCTTATGAGTGAAGACAAGTCTGTCCAACGCTTCCCAACCCTGCATTCAGGGATGTCTCGTTGGCATCTTGATTATGGCCATGAAAAAAGAATTTACGTCAAGGAAATTGGTAAATGCCACTAATCATAGCATTTCAAAAAATGTCTTTTTCAGAATTAGCATACCATTGGGTCGTGACTTCAAATGCCAGTGTGTTGATTCCAGGTGGTGATATTTCAGGAGAAACTACACAGATAGCATCTGATAAGGAGGGAAGAGCTCATAGGGTCCACACAGGAGGTGAGGGCATCACGGTGCATTTATCTTTTCCTGGTCGGACTCTGATCTTCTCCCGTTGAATTAGTTCCTAAACCAGGTGCGGAACTCTGAACTGAAGACATGAAGACCCAGTAAAGTACACCAGGAAGTGTGGCAATGAGAAATGAAGAGGACTGTGTGACACGCCATGGACCAGAGCATGCAGGTGTGCAGAGGTGTGGACCCAACGCTGCCATGTGGGATGGAGCCTCATGTCTAAGTGTGGGAAAAGAGGCAGATCCAACCAAGGAAAGTCAACATTAATGGAGAGGAAAGGTATCACATTTTAATGGTTCTCCATGGATCACCCCAGAAAATGTCCCTGCACTCGGACATTGATTCCTTCCTCTGGAAATGACCAGCAGACAGTCCAGATAGCATCGGCCCTAGATTTTCTTCCAGAACCTCCTGGGATCATCAGATCTGTTCCTGAGGCTTCACGACTCTATAAAGTACATTATCCTCTCTGCTGTTCACCTCCCGGCTGCATCTTGGGAAGCTTCTCTGGCTGTGCCAAGCCTCAAATGACAGAATCCCGAGGACCACCAGGATCAAGCCAGCCACGCCCATGTGGATGAGATTCTCCACTGCGTAATCCTGAAGGTGTGAGGCTGGGGATGGTGGACAAAGAGGTCACAGAGGTCAGGGTGGATCAGATTGTCCACCCAGGGCACCCACCTCCCCTTCACAGGACCCAACCCTCAGTGCCAGCCCCATCACTGAGAGTATCTCCTCACATACCAGTCTCAGAGTCAGACTTGTTTTGTGATGGGCTGAGGGTATCAGCTGCTCCAGAGAATCAAAACAGAGAAAAAGAGACCTGAGCCCAGCCTCTCACCTGGGCTCTGCAATTTTTTTTTTATTACTTAATGTCTCATGATGTGACTTTTACAGAATTTCTAAAAAAAAAAAAAAAAAACCTCTTCCTCCGCTAGCAGGATTCCCTCTAGTCTCCTCATTGAACGATTTCAGTTTTCCTGTGTTCTATGGATTTAAACATTGCTCCTGAGTCATCTGGGAGAGAGTTTTCCTGCATCCTGAGAGCTCAGGATCTGCAAGGAAAGTGGTCCCCAGTACAGAGGTCACTAAGGCCTGTGTGCTCTCTGTGCAGCCTGGGACACAGGAGAACATGAGCCAACTCCCCCGGAGATGAGAGTTTCACGGATCCACCAGCTGAGGACCCAGGCTCCGTGGATGAGGGTTAGTCATCAGGGGAGCCTCAATGTCAGAAGCACAAAGGGGTGAAATTCTGGGGCTGCCTCCCCTTCATGCCCTCAGCCACTTCACCTGGAGTTTCATTGTCCATTTAATCTCTAGGTAGCTAATTATTCGTATAGGCAGCAACAGGTAGAATGTGATACACACACAGAAAAACACAAACACAAATATATATCTGTTTTATATATATAGTGGGCCTTAAAAACTATCTCTGCCTTCTTGAAGTGTGGGTTCACCTGGAGACAAACAGCAAACATATAGAAACACAGCAGTGGAAATTTACTAGTCGTAGCAATGGTTTTAGATATATTGGTAGAGACCTATATTTATGTGTGAATATATATTATTTGTATAGATATACGGATAACTAGGTTTCAATGTCACGTAAGATGTTGGTGTGACCACACACGCGCACACACACACACACACGTATATGCAGAGAGTGGAAGAGAGAGAGAAGGAATTCAGCCGCATGGTGTAGGTTGGTTAATTACTTGACATAAATGAGAAGCAGGCAGGACTGGGCTGAGCTGTGTCGTCAGTGAAGGTCACACTTGGAGGTGACATTGAAGCTGATTCCTCAATAGGAAAAAGGGCCAGGAAGGAGGCGTGTGGAGACCCAGACAGGGAGCAACAGAGGCTCCAGAAAGAGCAGGTCCCAGAAAGGTCTCAGCCTGTTCTTCAGAAAGGAATGGCCGCTTGTCTACAGGGTGGAGGAGGAGGCAGAGGAGGAGGGGAGATGAGCTTCGGGGCCTTGGTGGATTGAGAATAGGCCAGGATGAACCGGCCAGGAAAGAGCGGCCCCAATATCTCTCTCTCTGTCTCTCTGTCTCTGTCTCTGCCTCTCTCTCCCTCCCTCTGAGGTCTGGAAAGTGCTGTAGGGTTTCAAGGAGTGGTACCAGTCATTTGACTTTTTCTGAAAAGATAAGCCCTACCCCCTCCATAGCAAATGTCCAGAACGAAGGAAGTCCACATTTCTACCTGAAGTTTACAAAACCTCAGGGAGCACGTGAGATCAGGGCTATTACGAAACCGGGTGAGAATAAAAATAGGTGATGCTGCAAATCTACTTTCACCAGCTTGGACAAAAAGGCCAATATGAGATTTTAAAAACCCAAATAAAAAATGTCAACGGCGCAGAAGAGGAGCGGTGCACATTCCCTGAGCTGCTGCGGGAGCACGTGCAAGTCCCTGTGAGGCTCAGGTGTGCGCTGAGTGCTGGGGAGGCTGCAGGGGAAAGCAGGAAGTGGGGCGGGGTGGGGGGGGGTCGGGGGTGGATGCAGGTGGCACCGGCAGCCTGGATGCTTCTCTCTCCAGGAGGGCGTCTGTTGGGGACTGGGACACAGAGGCTCTGATTCTGAGGTGGAGACACCAGGATGGGAGCAGGTGGGGCCTCCGTCTTCCACCCTCAGTCTAATCTCAACTCCTTTGAGGTTCACCCCCCGTCTCCTCCCAGCCCTCCCTGCACTTTACTCTACTGAGACTTCAGGGGTGGGAGCCAGGGGTGGGAGGTCCCTGTCTATTTCCATCTTCCCATGGGCTGGACCCTCCCCTGCGGACCCTCTCCCTTCACTCCCCTCTTTCCTTAGTGTCCAGAGCTCTGCTGGGGGCAGGGCCTGAGCTGAGCCTTTGAGCTCAGAGAGGACAGGGTCAGCGCCCTCACCTGAGACCACGAGCTCCACGGGGCCACTGGGGTGAGACAGCAGGTAGGGGTCGGAGCTGAGTGAGCCGTAGCACCTGTAGGTCCCCGTGTGGGCTGAGGTCACAGGACTCATGGGGAATTC